>NC_000007.14:88264354-88567385 GCF_000001405.40 Homo sapiens | reverse complement strand
TGTTTTGTTTTTTAAATTTTCTCTGCTAGGACCTTTGACTGCAGTTCCCAGGACACATTCCATGTAATTCCCTCATGGAAGGCGACAGATAACACACAGGTACCTTTTTCCAGAAAAATCTTCTCTCTCTCTGGTCTCTTCCACTCCACACATTTAAAAAGTGGAAGTGGGAGGTCACAAACACTAGCAGTGGTAGGTTTCCAGTCTGCTGGCATGCTCAGTGCAGGGAGCCCTGCAGGATCCAAAGCAGGTATTTGATCCCTATCAAGTCATTCTCAATTTGCACTGAAATTAAGGTTTAAAAAAGTTTCATTTTTACAGTGTTATAAGACTAGCTTTGTCAACTCATACTTTTATTTAAAAAAAAATCATCAAATACTTATAAAGCCCATAGGATGTTTTTTAAATCTGAGATTATTAATTTAAAGCCCTCTCTTATCTTTCCTGATCAGTCATTCTCATCCATTTCCTCTACTTAGCTAATCCAAAAATTATTTGCTCCCCCAAACGTAATTATTGTTTTCTAAATTTTTATTTTATTGCATCACCATCCTCCACCCTACACTCTACCCTGTCAGGATTCTTTGTTGAAGACAACTGAAACTAAATGCAGTTAATTCACACAGAAAATGAATTAATTAGAAGGATACTGGAGAGTTTACAGAATCAACTAGAAAGCTGGAGAACTGCATTTGAAAGGAAATTTAAAAAAGGAGAAAGCTCAGATCCTTTTCTAACCATGATCTGTTGAAGAGGCCCACAGCTTCATCAAGCACTCATCATTAAACCACCAGGCTCTCAACTGCTCTACAGCTACAGCAAACAATCTCTCTCCCTGGCCTGTCTGTTGGCTTCACTTCCACAAGATTTAAAGTCGCAGGCAGGGGCTCACACTCAGCCATGGCTAAATCACATGCTCACAACTCAAAAACCGTGAGGCAAGGGAAAGTGATTTAGCATCAGATAAAAGTCAAATTTGACGCGGTCTTAGTGCTGCACTGAGGTGGATGTTTGAGTTCAGCCACCCCTCAGCTGCTGAGGCCTCTGCTGCCTCCCATGGAAACCTGGGCCCCCTGTGCAGCTTCCTCCCTTTGTCTCATATCCATGCGCACCAATGAGAATGCTAATACACCAGCCACCCGACTTAACAGATTCAAGAACAAAGAAAAAGACAGCACAGAAATGAGGCATCACAGAATAGAAGTCAATGTGGAGCTGAGGAAAGCTAAGAAGGAGAAATATAAGCTCATTTCCTGATGATGCTACTTCTCCGCTGCAGAAGAACTGCAACAACCAGGATACTGTAAATTGGTCTGTTGATGACATTGTCAAAGGTATAAATAACAACAATGTGGAAAGTCAGCTGTAAGCTACTCAAGCTGCCAGGAAACTACCTTCTGGAGAAAACCAGCCCCCCCCCCCCCCCCCCCCCAAAGACAACATAATCCAGGCTGGTTTGATTCCAACATTTCTGTCCTTCTTGGGAAGAACTGATTGTAGTCCCATTCAGTTTGAATCTGCTTGGGCACTCACTAACATTGCTTCTGGGGCATTAGAACAGACCAAGGCTGTGGTAGACGGAGGTGCCATCCCAGCATTCATTTTTCTGTTGGCATCTCCCCATGCTCACATCAGTGAACAAGCTGTATGGGCTGTAGGAAACATTGCAGGTGATGGTTCCATTTTCCGAGACTTGGTTATCAACTGCGGTGCAGTTGACGCACTGTTGGCTCTTCTTGCAGTTCCTGATATGTCATCTTTAGCATGCGATTACTTACGTAATCTTATGTGGACACTTTCAAACCTTTGCCGCAAGAATACTGGCACCTCCTTTAGATTCTGTTGAGCAAATTTTTCCTACGTTAGTTTGATTCCTGCATCATGATGATCCAGAAATATTAGCAGATATCTGCTAGGTTATTCCTTACCTTTCTGGTGGTCCAAATGAATGAATTGACATGGTCGTGAAAACGGGAGTTTTGCCCCAACTTGTGAAGTCTCTAGGAGCTTCCGAATTGCCATTTGTGACTCCAGCACTAAGAGCCATTGGGAATATTGTCACTGGTACAGATGAACAGACTCAGGTTGTGATCAATGCAGGAGCACTCACCGTCTTTCCTAGCCTGCTAATCAACCCCAAAACTAACAGTCAAATATCACAGCTGGCCACCAGGATCAGATAGAGCAAGTCGTGAATCATGGATTAGTTCCATTCTTCGTCAATGTTCTCTCTAAGGCAGATTTTAAGACAAAAAAGGAATCTGTATGGGCCGTGACCAACTATTCCAGCAGTGGAACAGTTGAACAGATTGTATATCCCGTTCATTGTGGCATAATAAAGCCACTGATGAACCTCTTAACAGCAAGAGATACCAAGTTTATTCTGGTTATCCTGGATGCCATCTCAAATATCTTTCAGGCTCCTGAGAAACTAGGTGAAACTGAGAAACCCAGTATGAGTAAAGAATGTGGAGGCTTAGAAAAAATTGAAGCTCTACAAAACCATGAAAATGAGTCTGTGTGTAAGGCTTTGTTAAGCTTAATTGAGAAGTATTTCTCTGTAGAGGAAGAGGAAGATCAGTTTCTGTGCCAGAAACTACCTCTGAAGGCTGTACCTTCCAAGTTCAGGATGGGACTGCTGGGACCTTTAACTTTTAGATCATGTAACTGAGGCAAAAAGTTGTGTACTATGTTTGGTATAAGTTTGTTTTACTGTTTCTCTACTAAGAACTCTTTTTAAATGGGGTTTGTTATTGTACCACTTTTTATGCTGAAACGATACTTGAACAGTTCCAAATTGTACATACTGTATGAAGCTTGTCTTTTGAATGGGTTTCTTATTTCTATATGGAATTTCATATCTCTCAGTGTCCTGTAAATAAAGATTAAAGTCTACCCTTTTATTTACTTCAAAAAAAGAAAGAAGTCAAATTTATTATGTTTTGTACATAATAAGACTGTTTACAAAAAAAAATCCTAAGAGACTATATTAAAAATGATTAGACTTTATGGAAAATATCTGCAAAATGATTGGGAACAAGACTTTTATGCAAAAAGTGAATGTCTTCCATATACAAAAACAAAGAGAAAATATGAGAAATTAATCATTTAAACAACAAGGACAAACACACCAAAATGCCTAAATTAAAGTTAAATATAGACCCATATAAAAAACTACAATTAAATTCAGATATGTAACCAAATAATTTAATAAATTAAGACACTCAATATTCTTTAATGGAAAGACTATTTTAAAGTAGCTCTTTTTTTTTTTACCTCACTTATAATCCTGGATGAATTTGGATTAATATTTGTAATCACATGCCTTACTAAATACTGGGAATTTAGTATGTGAATTAAATTTTGTTAATTTGATTGAGTCTACTCATTTTTTGGAGAGGGGTAGTATTTATTGGTTCTGTGTGTGTCTGTGGGTATGTTCTCAAAATGGTTTGAAGTCAGTTTATAGAGATATACATTAGCTTATACAGAGTCTATATAGAGATATATAGAATTTTAGAGACTTATTATACTTAATATTAAACATAAAATAATTAATCAGAAAAAATACCTAAGCTCATAGTAAAGTTATGGCATCCATATTTGAACCCAAATAGGTGTTCATATTTTAAATCTGCACTATCACTAAAAATTATGTTAATTTTAGCCTAATTCCAACCTGTCCTTATTAAATATATCTTATTCATTGATGCACTCCATTATATTTCTGTCTAATTCAGAATCTAGATTGTTAGATTACGCTTACTTTTTTGTACCATTTTGTTCTGCTATTAGAGGTTGGGTAGATGACAAAATAGGTTAAGATGGCCAAATCTCAACTGGAAGAACCTCATGTCTAATAATCAGCTTATAGCCATAACACAATGCCATAATTGATCAAGATTTGAGGAGGGTAGAGAATTAAGGCAAAAATTAATAAAGTTGAGAACAATTAAGGAACTTTTGTCAAACTGCTGGCAAACAAGGGGTATACAGTGGATGCCCAGATTATTTTTTACTTACTTTTCATTTCCAGAATTATTTGCTGCTAATTGTAATCAGAAATTGCCGTCACTAAAGAATATCAGACTGCCAAAATCCCCGTGTAACCATATGAAACCTTCAGATCCTGCCTGATATCACTATTACTGTCCTAAAATGCTTTAGCTACATCTCCAAATTCTCACACGTTGTTTGCTTGCTCTAGAGCCATCTTGACCCTAAATAACCCCACACTGCGTGCAACCCATTGTGCCCCAGTCCCTGTGTTCTCTCAAGAATATGTTGATGTGCTTTCATTATTCATTTCATCCTGGTAAAGTGAGGGGTGGGTTTGCTTACAAAAACAAAACAAAGAACAACAACAATAAAAATCTGGAGTATTTTTTAGCTAGAAAGTTCCCCTTCAGATACAGTTACAGTCAAATGGATCTCTTGGTTACTTATACCCTTTTTGGTGATCTCTACTGACTGAAAAGATATTTTTGATTTACTGAGAATGTTTAAGTTCCCATAGTCAAATTGCCTTCATTCCCAGTGTTACAAAGCAGCCTCATAAGTAATTCCTGGTGTGGAAGGCATGTTTCCCAACACACTCATTCAGAAGGACAAGGCATCCATTCATTCATTCAACAAATATTTATTGAACGAATACCGTGTGCCAAACACAGGGTATTTGGTGGTGAATTAAAAAGGATAAAACCCCATGTTTTCATAGATTTTTACACCCTGGTAGGGAGAAACAAATAATAAACAAAATAAATAGGTAAGCCACTTTCTGGATCTATGTCAGACTATTTCAACGACATTGTTCCTTGAGGACACAAAGATTACAGTGTCCACTGACTTCTGGCTCGTCAATATCTTATTCCTAGGAATTTTCTCTGCTACTTTTCCTTCTTGCTCGGTATAGCTGCTCCAGGGTTTTTCTTTGCTACTACACACAATTCCCGAAATGTCTGCAATTTAATGAGTTTCTGCTAAAAACAGTCCTCCCTCCAGCAAGGCCCATTAAACACACATAGGTACAATGATTGGAAAAGAATCGCTGTTTTTTATATTTCAAGAAGTAAGGTGAGAATGTGTAATATTTATGAAATGTTTATGATATCATCCAAAAATTGTCATAAACTATAATAAATACAGCAGCTGCTTCTTCCACCATTTCACTGCTCAACTGTTTTAACTGGCAATTCAGGTTTTAATATTTTCAGTCTTTACCTTTTTATGATACTGATTGGCCTAGTGATACACTAATCAATCTTCATAAAAAATCTTATCACATAGCCAGTTAAATACAATAAATCATATGTTCAAGATGTAAAAAGATAACACACATTATTGAAACAACTTTATCAGAAATGAAAGTATGAAACTTTATTGGGCACTGTGAATCTGGCGGGTGTGAAGATTAAGCTCTGAGCTCAAAAGCTAAATTTTTAATTTGGCTGTTTTTGAAGTGATGGAGTTTCTGTCTGTTTTAACACTTGTGGTGTGAAGATAAGTTTTGCAGAATTAGAGATAAGTTAACATTGCTTTGAAAGTATTGCACTTTATCTTTTTGATAACTGTCTTTTAAGAACAATAAAGAGATTTATTTCTGTAAAGTACTAGTGAAAATATTATGAGTGTTCTCAACTGCTTTGGTATTTTATCAAAGGCATGGTGTATATGTGGCAGTTGAAGTCTGAAAGATGGGATACTAGATAAAGTTTGACAAGTAATAGAGTAGAGCAGGGAGGGGAGAAGAAGAGAGGTAATAAATCTTCCATTTGTCTTTTTCTAATGGACTACATATTAAGAAAAATCAAACCAAGCATATCTGTAAGAGAATGTCAATTAACAAGTTCATTGATTATGGTACTTTTTATAGTTCCGTGAAGGGCAACCATTTTTTAGATTATAATTCTATACCATAATCAGTGAGTTTGCTAATAGACACTCTCTTACAGATATGGTTAGTTTGCTTTATTAAAAATGTTGGCTTTTTATAAAATGTAAATTTACCCTTATAGTTAAATTAAACACTTACTGACTTATGATAGAGAAACTGGTAATGACTAGTTGACTCTTTAGGAGTTGAAAATAGAAGGGTTATAAGTCATTCAAAACAAAAGGTTTGTTCATATTTGTTTCTCTCTCTCTTTTTTTTTTTTTGAGTATTAACCTTCAAAACGCAATGACACCTTATCTAAGTCACAGCATTCTGCACACTGTTGTCCATGACTGTTTGCTATTGGTCTACACAAGTAGAGGAACTGAGTGGATGGGTTTCTAAATCTTTAGAGCTATTTAACAGAGCAATTTAATACCTGCTTAATAAAAAATAGGAGCTATTAAACTTTATGTATTTCATTTTTCTAGTTATTTATTCTCATTGTAGTTTACAAATATATTTGTCTGCAACATAAGGAAGTTTTTCTTTTTTAAAAATGTTCCTTCACCAAAGATAGAGAACAAAATAAAAGACAGTAGGTATGGGGAAATGGAGGTTCAGTTTGTTTTCTTTTACTTGTAAAGGACAAGTTTTTCAAAAATTCTGCCATAGAGGTTAAGACAATTTCTTAGAGGATCTTTTCTTCCTTTTATTTCCTTTTCCTTCCCCTTTTGCTTTCAAGTTTATGTAATTTGCTCTAGCATTGATTTCATTGGGTCAAATATATTGCTTCCAAGGTCTTCTGCAAAACAATTTTTTTTTTTTTACTTTACTTCATTTGTTCATTATTTCAACAACTTTCCTTTAAATTTTTGACATATGCACATATTTTTAACAGCAGTTTTACACCTTAACTAGAGCCAATTTCATATCCTTGGTAATACGGTAGTAATTGGTTGCTTATCTCTGTTTTTCATTCCCGCCATAGATTTATCCATACTCAATGAGTGTTGGTTGCAGAATGTGGCCTTTGTCAAGCTTTCTTTTCATAAGCTTTCAGTGGTTTAGAATTAGAAATAATGGAAAAATTCTTGCAGTCACAAAACTATACTCTCTCTGCTATCACATCAATTTAATGACAGAAGCAAATAGTTATATATATTTAGGTTCCTCTACTTCTTCACCCCATGCATTGCCACAGCTGTCTATGGATGATAAGGATATGCAAAAATATTCAAGGAGCAAAGAAAAAGAATAAGTAAGGAAGGCTCTCTATTTTCAATCCCATGAAATAATCAAGTTATTCATCTTAGGAACAAATTCCTGTTGTAGTGTTGACAACTGGAAGTTAGATTTCTAACAAACTAGAAAAGTACCCTCAAGCAGCAGATTCTGACATATGGAAACTCAGTTAAAAATCTGCTTATAGCTTTTTTTCTATTTTGTTTAAAACTGTTATAGGTTAGTGTATTAGTCTGTTTTCACACTGCTGATAAAGACATATCTGAGACTGGGAAGAAAAAGAGCTTTAATTGGACTTACAGTTCCACATGGCTAAGGAGGCCTCAGGAACATAGTGGGAGGCAAAAGGCACTTCTTATATGGTGGCAGCAAGAGAAATAAGAGAGAAGCAAAAGCAGAAACCCCTGATAAACCCATCAGATCTCATGAGACTTACTCACTATCACAAGAATAGCACGGCAAAGACGGGCTCCCACAATTCAATTACCTCCCTCTGGGTCCTTCCCACAACACGTGGTAATTCTGGGAGATAAAATTCAAGTCAAGATTTGGGTGAGGACACAGTCAAACCATATCATTCCACTCCTGCCCCTCCAAATCTTATGTCCTCACATTTTAAAACCAATCATGCATTCCCCCACAGTTCCCCAAAGTCTTAACTCTTTCAGCATTAACCCAAAAGTCCACAATCCAAAGTTTTATCTGAGACAAGGCAAGTCCCTTCCTCCTATGAGCCTGTAAAATTGAAAGCAATCTAGTTACTTCCTAGATACAATAGTGGTACAGGTATTGGGTAAATACAGCCATTCCAAATGGGAAAACTTGGCCAAAACAAAAGGGTTACAGGGCCCATGCCAGTCTGAAATCCAGTGAGGCGGTCAAATTTTACAGCTCCAAAATGATCTCCTTTGACTCCAGGTCTCACATCCAGGTCACGCTGCTATAAAAGATAGCAGCAGTCTTGGGCAGCTCTGCCCCTGTGGCTTTGTAGGGTACAGACTCCCTCCTGGCTGCTTTCATGGGCTGGCATTGAGTGTCTGTGGCTTTTCCAGGAACATGGTGCAAGCTACCAGTGGATCTACCATTCTGGGATCTGGAGGACTGTGGCCCTCTTCTCACAGCTCCACTAGGCAGTGCCCCAGTAGGGACTCTATGTGGGGGCTCTGACCCCACATTTCCCTTCTGCACTGCCCTAGCAGAGGTTCTCCATGAGGGCGCTGCCCCTGTAGCAAACTTTTGTCTGGGAATCCAGGCATTTCCATACATCTGCTGAAATCTAGGCAGAGGTTCCCAAACCTCAATCATTGACTTCTGTATACCTGCAGAATCAATACCACACGGAAGCTGCCAAGGCTTGGGGCTTCCACCCTCTGAAGCCACAGCCTGAGCTGTACATTGGCCCCTTTCAGCCATGGCTGGAGTGGCTGTGACACAGGGCACCAGGTTGCCAGACTGTGCACAGCACAGGGACCCAGGTCCCTGCCCATGAAAACACATTTTCCTCCTAGGCCTCTGGGTCTGTGATGGGAGGGGCTTCTGTGAAGGTCTCTGATATGGCCTGGAAACATTTTCCCCATGGTCTTGGGATTTAACATTAGGCTCCTTGCTACTTATGCAAATTTCTGCTGCCAGCTTGAATTTCTTCTCAAAAAATGGGCTTTTTCTTTTCTACTTCATCATCAGGCTGCAAATTTTCTGAACTTTTATGCTGTTTCCCTTTTAAAACTGAATGCTTTTAACAGCACCAAAGTCACCTTTTGCATGTTTTGCTGCTTGGAAATGTCTTCCACCAGATACCTTAAATCATCTCTCTCAAGTTCAAAGTTCCATAAATCTATAGGGCAGGGGAAAAATGCCACCAGTCTCATTGCTTAAACATAACAAGAGTCACCTTTGCTCCAGTTCCCAATAAGTTCCTTATCTCCATCTGAGACCACCTCAGCCTGGACCTTATTGTTCATCTCACTACCAGCATTTTTTTCAAAGCCATTCAAGTCCTTAGGAGGTTCCAAACTTTCCCACATTTCCCTGTCTTCTTCTGAGGCCTCCAAACTGTTCCAATTTCTGTCTGTTACCCAGTTCTAAAGTCACTTTTACATTTTGGGGTATCTCTTCAGCAATCCCCCACTCTACTGGTACCAACTTACTGTATTAGTTTGTTATCATGCTGCCTAAAGACATACCCAAGACTAGGAAGAAAACGAGGTTTAATAGGACTTACAGTTCCACATAGCTGAGGACGCCTCAGAATCATGGTGGGAGGCAAAATGTACTTCTTATGTGGTAGCAGCAAGAGAAAATGAGAGAGAAGCAAAAGCAATAACCCCTGATAAACCCATCAGATTTTGTGAGACTTATTCACTATCATGAGACTAGCATGGGAAAGACTGGCTTCCATGCTTCAATTATCTCCCCTTGGATCCCTCCCACAACACATAATTCTGGGAGATACAATTCAAGTTGAGATTTGAGTGGGGACACAGCCAAACCATATCAGTTAGCTTTAACCTTGAGCAGAGAAAGAAAATGTCTTTGAGATATAAATTAAAGAGGCTCCTAAAAGGCAATTCTTGAAATGCATTCGAAAGCCAAGATAAATTGATAGAGGTGAGGATAGATGAAAAGATGTGTGATTAAGCAAATATAGCAAATATTAATTATAGAATTTAGGTAGTGGGACTATGCGTGTTCACCATACAATCTTTTCAACTTTCGTGCATGTCTGAAATTTTTTCATAATAAATGATTTGGTAGGAAAAAGGCAATTTTTCCTCCCTGGACCTAAAAGTATCTCTGCGGGCCCAAATGTGTCTTCCCAAAGTTCTGTCAGGCCCTCTGAAATGCCCCATTAAATACTATAAAGTCTTGTTAGATTATTTCACAGTATCTTTCTTTTGAAATGCTAACTCAGACAGGATATGAAAAAATATTGTTAGAAGAAAACTTATGATTAATCAACTTATATAGCTGATATTGCTATCATTTCATTTAATTCTTCAGAGAACCTTTTAAAATCAGGCATAATTTTGGTGACAAGACCATATTTTTAGTAACAGTAGCTCCTTGGGTCCTATAATTTAACAGAAATCACAACACCATAGATTTTACTAATGTGTTAATGACTTTGGGGCAATGGGAGCAAAGAAATGAAAAGAAAACTCCCAAGTAAACATTATGAATAATTATTTAAGAAAGAGAATAGGTTAATGGAGCCAAGATGGCCGAATAGGAACAGCTCCGGTCTACGGCTCCCAGCTTGAGCGACGCAGAAGACGGGTGATTTCTGCATTTCTATCTGAGGTACCGGGTTCATCTCACTAGGGAGTGCCAGACAGTGGGCGCAGGTCAGGGGGTGCGCACACTGTGTGCAAACCGAAGCAGGGTGAGCCATTGCCTCACTCGGGAAGGGCAAGGGGTCAGGGAGTTCCCTTTCCTAGTCAAAGAAAGTGGTGACAGACGGCACCTGGAAAATCGGGTCACTCCCACACGAATACCACGCTTTTCCGACAGGCTTAAAAAATGGCGCACCAGGAGATTATATCCCGCACATGGCTCAGAGGGTCCTACGCCCACGGAGTCTCGCTGATTGCTAGCACGGCAGTCTGAGATCAAACTGCAAGGCGGCGGCGAGGCTGGGGGAGGGGCGCCCGCCATTGCCCAGGCTTGCTTAGGTAAAGAAAGCAGCCAGGAAGCTCGAACTGGGTGGAGCCCACCACAGCTCAAGGAGGCCTGCCTGCCTCTGTAGGCTCCACCTCTGGGGGCAGGGCACAGACAAAGAAAAAGACAGCATAACCTCTGCAGACTTAAATGTCCCTGTCTGACAGCTTTGAAGAGAGCAGTGGTTCTCCCAGCACGCAGCTGGAGATCTGAGAATGGGCCGACTGCCTCCTCAAGTGGGTCCCTGACCCCTGACCCCCGAGCATCCTAACTGGGAGGCACCCCCCAGCAGGGGCAGACTGACACCTCACACAGCCGGGTACTCCAACAGACCTGCAGCTGAGGGTCCTGTCTGTTAGAAGGAAAACTAACAAACTGAAAGGACATCCACACCAAAAACCCATCTGTACATCACCATCATCAAAGACCAAAAGTAGATAAAACCACAAAGGTGGGGAAAAAACAGAGCAGAAAAACTGGAAACTCTAAAAAGCAGAGCGCCTCTCCTCCTCCAAAGGAACGCAGTTCCTCACCAGCAATGGAACAAAGCTGGACGGAGAAAGACTTTGACGAGCTGAGAGAAGAAGGCTTCAGATGATCAAATTACTCCGAGCTACGGGAGAACACTCAAACCAAAGGCAAAGAAGTTGAAAACTTTGAAAAAAATTTAGAAGAATGTATAACGAGAATAACCAATACAGAGAAGTGCTTAAAGGAGCTGATGGAGCTGAAAACCAAGGCTCGAGAACTACGTGAAGAATGCAGAAGCCTCAGGAGCCGATGTGATAAACTGGAAGAAAGGGTATCAGCGATGGAAGATGAAATGAATGAAATGAAGCGAGAAGGGAAGTTTAGAGAAAAAGGAATAAAAAGAAATGAGCAAAGCCTCCAAGAAATATGGGACCATGTGAAAAGACCAAATCTACATCTGATTGGTGTACCTGAAAGTGACGGGGAGAATGGAACCAAGATGGAAAACACTCTGCAGGATATTATCCAGGAGAACTTCCCCAATCTAGCAAGGCAGGCCAACATTCAGATTCAGGAAATACAGAGAACGCCACAAGGATACCCCTCGAGAAGAGCAACACCAAGACACATAATTGTCAGATTCACCAAAGTTGAAATGAAGGAAAAAATGCTAAGGGCAGCCAGAGAGAAAGGTCGGGTTACCCTCAAAGGGAAGCCCATCAGACTAACAGCAGATCTCTTGGCAGAAACTCTACAAGCCAGAAGAGAGTGGGGGCCAATATTCAATATTCTTAAAGAAAAGAATTTTCAACCCAGAATTTCATATCCAGTCAAACTAAGCTTCATAAGTGAAGGAGAAATAAAATACTTTACAGACAAGCAAATGCTGAGAGATTTTGTCACCACCAGGCCTGCCCTAAAAGAGCTCCTGAAGGAAGCGCTAAACATGGAAAGGAACAACCGGTACCAGCTGCTGCAAAATCATGCCAAAATGTACAGACCATTGAGACTAGGAAGAAACTGCATGAACTAATGAGAAAAATAACCAGCTAACATCATAATGACAGGATCAAATTCACACATAACAATATTAACTTTAAATGTAAATGGACTAAATCCTCCAATTAAAAGACACAGACTGGCGAATTGGATAAAGAGTCAAGACCCATCAGTGTGCTGTATTCAGGAAACCCATCTCACGGGCAGAGACACACATAGGCTCAAAATAAAAGGAAGGAGGAAGATCTACCAAGCCAATGGAAAACAAAAAAAGGCAGGGGTTGCAATCCTAGTCTCTGATAAAACAGACTTTAAGCCAACAAAGATCAAAAGAGACAAAGAAGGCCATTACTTAATGGTAAAGGGATCAATTCAACAAGAAGAGCTAACTAACCTAAATATATATGCACCCAATACAGGAGCACCCAGATTCATAAAGCAAGTCCTGAGTGACGTAAAAAGAGACTTAGACTCCCACACATTAATAATGGGAGACTTTAACACTCCACTGTCAACATTAGACAGAGCAACGAGACAGAAAGTCAACAAGGATACCCAGGAATTGAACTCAGCTCTGCACCAAGTGGACTTAATAGACATCTACAGAACTCTCCACCCCAAATCAACAGAATATACATTTTTTTCAGCACCACACCACACCTATTCCAAAATTGACCACATACTTGGAAGTAAAGCTCTCCTCAGCAAATGTAAAAGAACAGAAATTATAACAAACTATCTCTCAGACCACAGTGCAATCAAACTAGAACTCAGGATTAAGAATCTCACTCAAAACCGCTCAATTACATGGAAACTGAACAACCTGCTCCTGAATGACTACTGGGTACATAACGAAATGAAGGCAGACATAAAGATGTTCTTTGAAACCAATGAGAACAAAGACACAACATACCAGAACCTCTGGGACACATTCAAAGCAGTGTGTAGAGGGAAATTTTTAGCACTAAATGCCCACAAGAAAAAGCAGGAAAGATCCAAAATTGACACCCTAACATCACAATTAAAAGAACTAGAAAAGCAAGAGCAAACACATTCAAAAGCTAGCTGAAGGCAAGAAATAACTAAAATCGGAGCAGAACTGAAGGAAATAGAGACACAAAAAACCCTTCAAAAAATTAACGAATCCAGGAGCTGGTTTTTTGAAAGGATCAACAAAATTGATAAACCGCTAGCAAGACTAATAAAGAAAAAAAGAGAGAAGAATCAAATAGACGCAATAAAAAATGATAAAGGGGATATCACCACCGATCCCACAGAAATACAAACTACCATCAGAGAATACAACAAACACCTCTATGCAAATAAACTAGAAAATCTAGAAGAAATGGATAAATTCCTCGACACATACACTCTCCCAAGACTAAACCAGGAAGAAGTTGAATCTCTGAATAGACCAATAACAGGAGCTGAAATTGTGGCAATAATCAATAGCTTACCAACTAAAAAGAGTCCAGGACCAGATGGATTCACAGCCAAATTCTACCAGAGGTACAAGGAGGAATGGTACCATTCCTTCTGAAACTATTCCAATCAATAGAAAAAGAGGGAATCCTCCCTAACTCCTTTTATGAGGCCAGCAACATCCTGATACCAAAGCCGGGCAGAGACACAACCAAAAAAGAGAATTCTAGACCAATATCCTTGATGAACACTGATGCAAAAATCCTCAGTAAAATACTGGCAAACCAAATCCAGCAGCACATCAAAAAGCTTACCCACCAGGATCAAGTGGACTTCATCCCTGGGATGCAAGGCTGGTTCAATATACGCAAATCAATAAATGTAATCCAGCATATAAACAGAAGCAAAGACAAAAACCACATGATTATCTCAATAGATGCAGAAAAGGCCTTTGACAAAATTCAACAACACTTCATGCTAAAAACTCTCAATAAATTACGTATTGATGGGACGTATCTCAAAATAATAAGAGCTATCTATGACAAACCCACAGCCAATATCATACTGAATGGGCAAAAACTGGAAGCATTCCCTTTGAAAACTGGCACAAGACAGGGATGCTCTCTCTCACCACTCCTATTCAACATAGTGTTGGAAGTTCTGGCCAGGGCAATTAGGCAGGAGAAGGAAATAAAGGGTATTCAATTAGGAAAAGAGGAAGTCAAATTGTCCCTGTTTGCAGATGACATGATTGTATATCTAGAAAACCCCATTGTCTCAGCCCAAAATCTCCTTAAGCTGATAAGCAACTTCAGCAAAGTCTCAGGATACAAAATCAATGTACAAAAATCACAAGCATTCTTATACACCAACAACAGACAAACAGAGAGCCAAATCATGAGTGAACTCCCATTCACAATTGCTTCAAAGAGAATAAAATACCTAGGAATCCAACTTACAAGGGATGTGAAGGACCTCTTCAAGGAGAACTACAAACCACTGCTCAAGGAAATAAAAGAGGATACAAACAAATGGAAGAACATCCCATGCTCATGGGTAGGAAGAATCAATATCGTGAAAATGGCCATACTGCCCAAGATAATTTACAGATTCAATGCCATCCCCATCAAACTACCAATGACTTTCTTCACAGAATTGGAAAAAACTACTTTAAAGTTCATATGGAACCAAAAAAGAGCCCGCATTGCCAAGGCAATCCTAAGCCAAAAGAACAAAGCTGGAGGCATCACGCTACCTGACTTCAAACTATACTACAAGGCTACAGTAACCAAAACAGCATGGTACTGGTACCAAAACAGAGATATAGATCAATGGAACAGAACAGAGCCCTCAGAAATAACGCTGCATATCTACAACTTTCTGATCTTTGACAAACCTGAGAAAAACGAGCAATGGGGAAAGGATTCCCTATTTAATAAATGGTGCTGGGAAAACTGGCTAGCCATATGTAGAAAGCTGAAACTGGATCCCTTCCTTACACCTTATACAAAAATCAATTCAAGATGGATTAAAGACTTAAACGTTAGACCTAAAACCATAAAAACCCTAGAAGAAAACCTAGGCATTACCATTCAGGACATAGGCATGGGCAAGGACTTCATGTCTAAAACACCAAAAGCAATGGCAACAAAAGCCAAAATTGACAAATGGGATCTAATTAAACTAAAGAACTTCTGCACAGCAAAAGAAACTACCATCAGAGTGAACAGGCAACCTACAAAATGGGAGAAAATTTTCACAACCTACTCATCTGACAAAGGGCTAATATCCAGAATCTACAATGAACTCCAACAAATTTACAAGAAAAAAACAAACAACCCCATCAAAAAGTGGGCAAAGGACATGAACAGACACTTCTCAAAAGAAGACATTTATGCAGCCAAAAAACACATGAAAAAATGCTCACCATCACTGGCCATCAGAGAAATGCAAATCAAAACCACAATGAGATACCATGTCACACCAGTTAGAATGGCAACCATTAAAAAGTCAGGAAACAACAGGTGCTGGAGAGGATGTGGAGAAATAGGAACACTTTTACACTGTTGGTGGGACTGTAAACTAGTTCAACCATTGTGGAAGTCAGTGTGGCGATTCCTCATGGATCTAGAACTAGAAATACCATTTGACCCAGCCATCCCATTACTGGGTATATACACAAAGGACTATAAATCATGCTGCTATAAAGACACATGCACAAGTATGTTTATTGCAGCATTATTCACAATAGCAAAGACTTGGAACCAACCCAAATGTCCAACAATGATAGACTGGATTAAGAAAATGTGGCACATATACACCATGGAATACTATGAAGCCATAAAAAATGATGAGTTCATGTCCTTTGTAGGGACATGGATGAAATTGGAAATCATCATTCTCAGTAAACTATCGCAAGAACAAAAAACCAAACACCGCATATTCTCACTTATAGGTGGGAATTGAACAATGAGAACACATGGACACAGGAAGGGGAACATCACACTCTGGGGACTGTTGTGGGGTGGGGGAAGGGGGGAGGGATAGCATTGGGAGATATACCTAATGCTAGATGACGAGTTAGTGGGTGCAGTGCACCAGCATGGCACAGGTATACATATGTAACTAACCTGCACATTGTGCACATGTACCCTAAAACTTAAAGTAAAATATTAATAAATAAATAAATAAATAGCAATTGAAATATACATTTAAAATGCATGTTATAATATGAAAAAAAACTGCTAAATTATGACCAGATGTGTAGAATTCTTGCTCTGTACTTAAAAAAAAAAAGGACTCTTTTACGTTTATGATTATCATGTTTTGTTTCTGACTGCATAGATAAGAAGAGATTCAAATTGTTATTGAAATGTCTGCAAATAACACATTGTTTGCGGGTTAATTTTTTTATTTCTCATGATTCAAAGCCATGTTTAATAATCATTACATTAGTTTATGCTTTTCAAATGGATTTTTGAAGTACTAAATACACATAAGAATTTTGATCTGATGAAGAGAAAATGAACAAAATTTGCAGAATTATTTAAAAAAAAAAAGAAAGAGAATAATACCTTCCTCATCTTTCCATCATAATCCAATTACTTACCTTGTTAGAGAATACCTTAGGAGACCCTGTCCTGTCTTCTGGTGAGTTACAGCATTTTGGTTTTTGTTTGTTTGTTTTTGCTTTGTTAGAGACAGAGCCTTGCTTTGTCATCCAGGCTGGAGTGCAATGGTGCAATCTCAGCTCACTGCAACCTCCATCTCCCAGGTTCAAGCGATTCTCCTGCCTTAGCCTCTCAAGTGGCTGGGTCTACAGGAGCACGCCACCAAGCCTGGTTAATGTTTGCATTTTTAGTGGAGACAGGGTTTCGCCATGTGCAGGCTGGTTTCAAACTCCTGACCTCAAGTTATTCACCCACCTCAGCGTCTCAAAGTGCTGGGATTAGAGGCATGAGGCGCTGTGCCTGACATCTCAGCATTTTGAAACATTCATCTCAACATCTTGGTACTGGGTGATTATAGTAAAGCCAAATATTAATTCTTAAAATGAAAGAATTACAATCATACAGTCTTTCCTCTATCTATATCTCAAATCATGGAGGACTACAAGTGACTTCAAGTAAAGGAGCAAAAGGAAAAGAAGGATCATTGTTGTGTGACAAAATGACACTTTGGCTTGGGAGATAAAATGTCCTGTCTTTGGCTTAACCTCATATAACGGGTAGAGAATAGATTCTCAAGTCCACAGCTCTTTGAGTTGGGTATCTAGCAGAGCTCATCCCATTCTAACTGAACATACTCCTTTAAGCTCCTCAATAGATGGCATTATCCAGAAATTTATACAAAAATAAGGAAAAGAGTGGTTATGTAACTTGTCCAAAGCTACACAGCTAGAGAGTGGGGGAATGAAGCTCAAACATAGAACTGTTTGACATTAAAAATGTTCTTGTACTCTGCACCAAGTTATGATTTAAATTTAATATAAGCATTGAGGAGAACAGCAGCTTTCACCTGAAAAGGGAATAATATTGGTGTGCACAACAGTACCTAGAGACAGCATCAAGACACCCCATGGTAGGGTATCAAGAGAGGCTGAAGCACAATAAAAGATAAGGCATCAGAAGTAGTGAAAAGTACAAAGAAAGGAAAATGAGAAGGCATCAATAGTAACTTCACCTTTTCCCATTTTGTTAACCCTATGCATTATTTCAGTTATGCCCTTAACAATACCATATAGTGTGGTTTTCCCAGGATAATTTATACCTATTGTCCTGCATAATTATTAGCAAAAATTTTTTATTTAGATTATAATTTATATGTCCACTCTATTTAGACTGGAACGATGTGTATTAGCAAATGATTCTTTAGAGAAAAAAATGTATCTTATGAGAAGGATCCCTTTTAAGTTGGGTGTAATTATAATTAAATGGTAACCAAAAATATTTTGTGCAGCTATCATTTAAGTAACTCTGTAACTCATTGGCTTCTACTTTTTAGTAAATCAATCCAACTAGGATGACTGTTTTGTGAAGAATCCTTGAACTCATAGAAATATTGTTATTCTCATTTCAGAAAGTGGTCTCTCTGGTCTGGGCATATTGCCCACATTCACAGGTAATTGTTCTCCATCTATCACACTTACATGATTATGTAAATGGTAATTCTATGTTCAGTATAAATTTTCACTTATGCTTTCAAATATGAAATAAAGCCTGTTTAGAGAATGAGAAACTACCAACTCTGATTCTTAAAGTTTAGTCCCCAATTTACCTTGTATTTATATCTTAATTTATATATGTGGTAAAATAAATGGTGACAATGTTTTTAAAATGAAATGGGCTAAAATATATTTAACTGCCTGCAAAAGCTAGATAAAATTTCTAAGTTTGTTTAAATGTTATATAGTTACAGTTTATAATAAGTCATACTTTGTCAAACTGCTACACAAAAATATGTTATCTAGATCAGGCAAAAGGAGCCTTTGGGCAGAGTTCAAGGTAAATTCTGATTGTGCATGTCAAGTCACTGATAAACCTAAGAGAGGAAATTGGGAAATATAGGTGCATATCTCCCTAAGAGATCTCTGTAAGAAATGGAGTCTCTCCTGCCAACATCAGATCACTAATTAACTATGCCACCTTGGACACATCATCTCACTTCATTAGAGCTGTTCCTTCATTTACAGAATTAAGATTTGTGGTTTAAGGCTTTTCTGGCTGTAAAATTCTAGAAAATATAATATTTTGACCACAGTTTGAAAAAAAACTCATTATTGTATGTTAAGCTTTTTGAATCCTGAATAAAAGAAATCAGTATGACTGTAGGACATACTGAATGTTTACTGTGCATCAAACACTGTGCCAGGTACTCTCTTTATGTTGTAGCTTTTGATACTTAAATAATCCTGTGAAGGGCTGAGGAGGAATGCTATACCTGAGAACAAGACACTGCTACAGGAGTTAAGAAGAAATCACTTAGGCAGGTAGCAAGGGTATGGGAGTCTTCAGTAAGGCTTTCTTTTTAATGAAAAGCAGCCCCAAACCATTTTCTAACAAAGAGCAGCCTGTAAAGTCCAGCTGCAGACGCAGACAAGCAAGCTGGGAGTTTGCACGGGTGAATGCTGGCAGGAACTAG
Source organism: Homo sapiens (assembly GCF_000001405.40). Taxonomy (NCBI): domain Eukaryota; kingdom Metazoa; phylum Chordata; class Mammalia; order Primates; family Hominidae; genus Homo; species Homo sapiens. The sequence continues at coordinate 88,548,079 of NC_000007.14, read as the reverse complement.
GGACTAGACATGTTCAAGATGGCAGCTCCATCTTCCCTCTCTGCCAGCCATGTGTACAGTAAGGAGCAGACAAGATGGTGCTGGCCAAGGGGAAAGTTCATTTCCATTACAGGATTAGGGTGGAGAGACCAGCCTTCCCCACACACTATGTAAACGTCATACCTGATCAAACCAATCCATGAGCCCTACATAAATCAGACACCACCTCCTCAAGCTGAACTATAAAATCTGGCACATGTGCCACCAGCTGGTCTTTTCCACTTTTCCACTCAAAGAACCCTCTCTCTAGAGAGAGAGAGAGCTGTTTTTCTTTCTCTTTTCTTCTGCCTATTAAACCTCCACTCCTAAACTCCTCATGTGTGTTCATGTCCTAAATTTTCCTGGTGAGAGAAGACGAATCCTGGGTGTATACCCCAGACAATGTAGCCACTTCATATGGGGGACCTCGTCTAGGATACCAAAGCACAACATTCACTGAAACAGTGAGTAGAGGAGCGGACTCCAACTTTGTCCTCTGTTTTCAGGGCTCTCAGCCTCTATTTTAGAAGCAAATCAAATCAATAATGGGCATCCGTTAGCCAGTTAAAAACACAGCATGGCTGTCATTCTTAAAGACTTGCATGTGAGGCTCGCTGGGGAGAACATGGAGAATCCCCCAGTACCCACGAGTTCCTGGGCATATTAGCTATGTTTGAACCAGCTTACTTTCATGGAGGACTTAGATGTTACGGGGGGCTGGAAGAGGTTTTGAAGTGACTGAAGATTTCTGGCTGGGGCTACTCCCCAGTGTTATCCAAAGGCTTCTAGACTGACCCCAGCCTCCGACCACCCAATGGGGTGCCAGCAACAGGATCTCCAACTTTCCTATCATAATTTCCTCCTTTCCTATCTGCAACCACCATATCTCCTATCCTCTCTGTGTATGCAATGTGTGGGAAGTTTTACAGTTCAGGGAAGTAATCTTGTTTGGCAAGATCAGGGAATGTCGTAGTAACCAGGGATATAACTCAAAGGGTGTCTTTGTGATTTTCTAGGAAGAGAGGGTCCCCCCTCCCACAGTGAGTATCACTCTCTGCCGTTGGTCTGGAGAGCACATGGAACTTCCAGGTCTCTCTCTGCCCTTGGTCTGGACAGCACATGGCATTTCAAGGTCAACAGCACCACCTAGTGGAATAGGGATCCTCTCCATGAGGCACATTGTAGGTCCTTTACCAAAACACTCTAGCTTCCCAATTCTCTTCTTTTTTTGCACTTCTCTACTAGAAATCAGGCTTCATGTTGCTTCTGTAAACTGGAAAATTCTGCCTTCAACAACTAGGAGTAAAATATCCTCCAAAGCCAAATTTTAGTCTCTATACTGTCCCATCAATAGTCATTTAGTCCCTATGTTATTTTAAGGCACCTATTCTGCCTCCAATTAGAATGGTACTTAATTAGTAAGGGAATTTTAAGTTCAGAAGTTAACCAGAACCATTCTCTAAGGGTGAAGGCTTTAGCATGGGCTATAACAGCAGTATATAGAGCTCAAACTAGCACACTACCTCTGTTAAGGAGGGAAGTGCAACAGTTGCCTGAATGCAACTGTCACATTGTCTCTCCCAAGATCCTTTTTTTTTTTTTTTTTTTTCCTGAGGAGCCAGGTAGGTCACAAAAGTCTAGGAAGTCAAAGGGAAATCACAGGCAGAGGACTAAAATCACATGGATGACTATGACTAATCCCAGTCTCTTAGTTCCTCTGTTTCCACAGCTGGAGGTCATGCCTGCAACCATGGGCAGCACATTCAACAACTTACCGGCACCCAGGAACCATGGAGAAAAAAACCAGCAGCGGGGACACCCCCACTGTCTTCCCATCCACCCTGGGTCGCAAGAAAAGTAAGGAGACTAAAGGAATGCCTTTTTCTCACTTCTCTTTCTAAATGGGTAACAGACCATCTTCAGCCTGCACCCCTCTGGAGTGCATTCTGAAACACAAGGACTCTTTGACCCTGAGACTTTGAACAAAAAGCAGTTCATTTTCTTTTGCATGAGGGCATGACCTTCTTATGCTCTTGAACCAGCCTGACCTTTGGAAGGGAGCCTTAATTTTAATATTATCCAACAATTAGATCTTTTCTGCAGACAGGAGGAAAATGGTCCAAGGTAACTTATGCATAGGCTTTCTTTGCCCTGCAAGACAACCCAGACTTTGCAAGCATTGCACAATCAACCCAGCCCTTTTAGCAATCATATCTGGCAGGACCAAACTGAATGATTCCCCAAGACTAGAAAAGCAACTTCTGGGGAAACCATCTGAGGCAGCTGTTGGGTATCCCAGCCCTTCTAGTTCCCCTTATCTGGGGCCACTTCCAACCACACCACCAGCTCTTCTACCTCCACCATCTCCAAAATTTCCCACTCCCCGACCTTCACTCTTACCCCTACAGGAAATGCACAATGGAGGTGATGTCACTAGGGTTCAAGTTCCCTTCTCATTTTAGGACCTCGGGCAAGTAAAGGGAGACTTAGGCCAATTTTCCGATGACCCTAATAAATATGTAAAAGCCTTCCAAAATTTAACTCGGGTATTTGACCTCTCATGGAGGGATGTTACACTGCTCCTAAGCCAAACCCTAGGTCTAAAAGGAAAAGAGAAAATAGGAAAGGGAAACACCATTCCCAATAGAAGCAGTTCCTCTTGACAACCCTAACTGGAATCCCAGTGGTGCTACAGATGAATGGAAAAGAAAACATTTTTTAATGTGTGTATTGGAGGGCCTATAAAGAACTAGGGCCAAACCCCTTAATTACCCTAAACTGTCCATGAGAAGAAAATACTGCAGCCTTTATGGAATGACTGAGAGAGGCACTAATAAAGCACACAACCCTATTCCCTGAGTCAGTGGAGGGACAATTCATCCTAAAATACAATTTTATTACACAGGCAGCTCCCAATATTAAAAGGAAACTGCAGAAGCAGGCTATAGGACCAGATAGTACCTTAGAGAACTCTCTGAAGGTGGCCACCTCAGTCTTTTATAATAGGAACCAGGAGGAGAACCAGGAGAAAGAAAGGAAGAAAAGGGAAGGACAGAGGCTCTAATAGCTGCTTTGAAGCCTGGCAAAGTCCAGGATCCCCAAGGTGCATCCACTAGTTGCTATCAGTGTGGCAAGTCAGGGCACTTTAAGAAGGAGTGTCCAGGTAGCAAGAAGAAACCACCATGACCCTGTTCAGCATGTGGCAGGGACCACTGGAAATCAGACTGCCCTTGAAGATGAAGGTCACTGGGTTCAGAACCAGTCTCACAGATGGCCCAACAGGACTGATGGATCCCAGGGTTCAAACGCCTGGCTTCAGCAGCTCAAGCTGCCATTACAGCACTGGAGCCTGAGATGATTCTGGAAATTGAAGGAATGAAGGTAGATCTCCTTCTGGACACTGAAGCCAGCCTCTCTCCTTTCCTCTCTAATCCAGGCCTCTGCTCTTCTTATAACACAACCATCAGGGGCATCTCAAAAAAAACTCTAAATTGATATTTTTCTCAACTCCTTAGTTGCAGATGAGGAAACCTAATGTTTACACATGGCTTTTTAATCATGCCAGAAAGCCCCACTCATTTATTAGGTAGAGACGTTTTAGCTTGCATGAGGGCCAGCATCCTTATAGCCCCAGGACAATAGCTTTGTCTCCCACTGGTAGAAGCTAATATCAATCCGTAAGTGTGGACAACTCAAGGGAAAATTGGTCAAGCTTTAACCACTAGCCAGTTCAGATATATCTTAGGGATCCCACTTCTTTTCCTAACCAGGAGCAATATTCCCTAAACCCAGAGGCTAAGAAAGGGCTAGAAGCTATTATTAATAACCTGAAGATACAGGGTCCTCTCAAACCCTGTAACAGCTCCTACAAAAACCTAATATTAGGAGTGCAAAAACCCAATGGGTAATGAAGAGTAGTTCAGGACCTCTGCCTCATTAATGCGGCCAAAGTCCCAATCCATCCAGTAGTACCTAATCGCTATACCTTGCTGACCCAAATATCTGAGGGAACTAAATGGTTTACAGTCCTAGATTTAAAGAACGCCTTCTTCTTTATACCATTACATCTTTACTCTCAATACCTGTCTGCCTTCAAAGATGCCTCTGACCAAACCATCCAGTTAACATGGATGGTGCTGCCTTGGGGATTTTGAGATATCCTTCATTTGTTTGGACAGGCATTATCAAAAGACCTCACTGAGTTTTCACATCTTCAGGTCAAGATTTTGCAATATGTGGGTGATATATTGCTCTGTACCCCAACTGAGGAAGCTTCTCAGGAAGGCACTGAAGCTCTTTTTAATTTATTAGCTGACAGAGGATATAAGGTTTCAAAATCCAAGGCCCAGCTTTGCAAAACCTCAGTGAAGTTTCTGGGTTTAGTGCTGTCTGAAGGGACCAAAGCATTAGGGGAAGAAAGGATTAAGCACATTTCCTCCTTCCCCCTCCCCAAACCCTCCAGCAACTAAGAGGATTTTGGGGCATTACAGAATTTTGCAGGCTGAGTACAGTGAGATAGCTCATTTTCTGTGTCACCTCATAAGAGAAACTCCATCAGCTTACAACTCATCTCCTAACCTGGGAACCTGAAGCTCAAAAGGCCTTTAACCAGCTAAAGCAGGCCCTACTTAAGGCACCAGCTCTTAGCCTTCCCATAGGAAAGGCCTTCAATCTCTAAGTATCAGAAAGGAAGGGGATGGCCCTGAGAGTCTTAACGCAGACCTGAGGACAAACAACAGCCAGTGGGTTATTTGAGTAAGGAACTTGATTTGGTGGCTAAAGGATGGCCAGCATGCCTCTGAGCCATTGCCCCGGTGGCCCTACTGGTCCCAGAAGCCTCCAAATTAAACTTGGGAAATGACTTGACTGTTTATACCCCACATAATATGGCGGGTTTCCTGTCCTCTAAGGGAAGCCTTTGGTGAACAGACAGCAGTTTCCTTAAATATCAAGCTTTATTGTTAGAGGGTTCCACCATCCAGTTAAAAACTTTCTCTGACTTAAACCCAGACACTTTCCTCCCTGAGGGAGCTGGGAAACCTAAATGTGACTGTGAACAAGTCGTGGTACAGATCTATGCAGCCAGGGAAGATCTCAGGGAAACTCCCCTAGAAAAATCCAGATTGGACCCTCTTCATGGATGGAAGCTCCTTTGTAGAGCAAAGAATCCATAAGGCAGGATATGCAGTAGTCACTCTGAATGATGTTATTGTCTCTCTCTCCAGGCACAAGTGCTCAACTAACTGAACTGACAGCTCTTACACTTGAGTTAAGCAAGGGAAAGGTAGCTAACATTTACACTGACTCAAGTATGCTTTCCTAGTTCTCCATGCTCATGCTACCATTTGGAAGGAAAGGTACTTTCTTACCACCAATGGGTCTTCTATTAAATACCATCAGGAAATTAACAAGTAATTATCCTCAGTTTTCCCTCCACAAGAGGTAGCAGTGATGCATTGTAAGGGACATCAGAAGGGAGTAAATGAAATAGCCTAAGGAAACAAGCTAGCTGATCAGGCAGCCAAGTCAGCAGCAAGGAAGTCTTATGACATCAACACACTTCAAGCCCCTCTACTCTGGGAAGGCTCCATAAGAGAAATCTAGCCTCAGTATTCCCCTGCAGAAATAGAACGGGCCACTTCTCAAGGGTATACCTTCCAGCCCTCAGAATGGCTGTAGTCAGAGGATGGCAAGGTCCACTTGCCAGCCTCCAGCCAGTGGAAAGTCTTTAAATTCCATCACCAAGCTTTTCACTTGGGAAAGGATAAAACTTATCAATGTGCCCAAAGATTGTTTTCAGGAGAGAACTTACTAAGAACAGTAAAACAGGTTGTTAATGCTTGCGAAGTCTTTCTTAATAGTAATCCCATGAACAGACAGTCCCTTCCTCCTCAAATCCAAAGGATGGGATGCTCTCTAGGGGAGGACTGGTAGATAGACTTCACCGACATGCCAAAGATGAAGGACATCCAATACCTCCTGGTATGGGTATCTACATTCACTAACTGGGTAGAAGCATTTCCATAGCATACAGAAAAGGCCTCTGAGGTAGTAAAGATGTTAGTTAATGAAATTATTCCCTGTGTTGGTCTACTTAAGTGCCTCCAAAGTGAAATGGCCCCTCATTTGAAGCAGCCATCACACAGGTAGCCTCAAAGGCACTAGGTATACAGTATCATCTCCATTGAGTTTGGAGACCCCAGTCCTCAGGAAAACTACAGAAGACAAACGATGTCATCAAAAGACACCTCAGGAAACTGTCCCAAGAAACTCATCTTCCTTGGGTTACTCTTCTTCCTATGGCTTTACTGCAGGTAAGAAACGCCCCTTCAAAGTTAGATCTAAGCCCTTTTGAGATGCTGTATGGATGGCCTTTTCTCACCAATGATTTCTTATTAGACCAAGAGACCTCTGAATTGGGCAAGCATGTAAACTCTCTGGCTCGTTTTCAACAGGAATTAACTCAAGTAGCAGAAGCCCAACCCCAAGAAGTAGGACCACCTTTATTTAACCCAGGATATTTGGTATTGGTAAAGTCTCTACCTTCTCTCTCTCCTTCTCTAAGCCCAAGCAGGGAGGGCCTTACACCATTCTCCTTTCAATGCCCTCAGCAGTAAAAGTTACAGGTATTGATTCCTGGATACATCATGCTCAAGTTAAAGCCTGGAAAACTGAGAGAGCAATCCCCGGCAGCCCAGCGGAATGTCTTGGATACCAATGTGAGGAAATAAGAGACCTGAAGCTGAAAATCAAAAGAGATAAGAAAATGAGCAAGGGCTACTCATCCTACTCAGTTCCAGTCATCCATTCAGTCATCCAGTCATCCAGTCTTTGTACAACTGGTTAGTTCCACTATTAAGCCTCCTCTTGCTCATGTGTTTTATATTAATGTTTGGACCTTGTCTACTCAATACTATAATTTGAATTGTTTCCTCTCACCTAGAAGCAATCAAACTCCAAATGGTGCTACAGACTTAACCACACATGACACGCCTTTCTTCCAAGGACACTTAGATCAACCCTAGAAGCCCTAGCTGCTGTTCCCCACACAACACCCCTTTTCAGCAGGAAGTAGCCAGAAAGAGTTGTCGCCCAACACCCTCTAACAGCAGTTAGGGTTACCACTCCTGAGAAGGGGAATGATATCGAAGCTGATATGGTTTGGCTGTATCCACACCCAAATCTCATCTTGAATTCCCATGTGTTGTGGGAGGCACCCAGTGGTAGGTAATTGAATCATGGGGGCAAGTCTTTCCCGTGCTGTTGTCATGATAATGAATATGTCTAACGAGATCTGATGGTTATAAAAAGGGAGCTTACCTGCACAAGCGCTCCTTTCTTTGCTTGCCGCCATCCACGTAAGATGTGACTTGCTCCTCCTTGCTTTCTGCCATGATTGTGAGGCATCCCCAGCCACATGAAACTGTAATTCTAATGAAACCTCTTTCTTTTGTGAATTGCCCAGTCTCTGGTAAGTCTTTATCAGCAGTGTGAAAACAGACTAACATAGGAGTTAAGAAGAAATCACTTAGGCAGATAGTAAGGGTATGGGAGTCCTCAGTAAGGCTTTTCTTTTTAATGAAAAGCAGCCTCAAAACATTTTCTAACAAAGAGCAGCCTGTAAAGTCCAGCTGCAGACATAGACAAGCAAGCTGGGGGCTTGCACGGGTGAATGCTGGCAGGAACTAGGGACTAGACGTGTTCGAGATGGTGGCTTCATATTCCCTTCTCTGCCAGTCACATGTACAGTAGGGAGCAGACAAGATGGAGCTGGCCAAGGGGAAAGTTCATTTGCATAATAAGATTAGGGTAGAGAGACCAGCCTTCCCCATGCACTATGTAAATGTCATACTTGATTAAGCCAATCTGTGAGCCCTGCATAAATCAGACACCACCTCCTCAAGCCAGACTATAAAATCCAGCACATCTGCCACCAGCTGGTCTTTTTCACTCAGAAGGCCCCTCTCTCGAGAGAGAGAGAGCTGTTTTTCTTTTGCTTTTCTTCTGCCTATTAAACCTCTGCTCCTAAGCTCCTCATGTGTGTTTGTGTCCAAAATTTTCCAGGCACGAGATGACAAACCCTGGGTATATACCCTAGACAATGTAGCCACTTCAATACTGAAGAGGAAATAGACCAAATAATTGCCCAAAACTATATAATTAGTAAATGGAAGCACCACTACTGCAGGAACATACCAGGAAAGCCAAGAGAATCAACAAACCTTTTGAAGGAGGTGGATTGCTGCTGCAGGCTCCATCAAACAGCCAAGGAACTGTGAGCCTGCCTGCTTTCTCCACAGGGAGGCTTATGGTCTAGGGCAAGTTTTCAGCTGGGGTTACTGGCTGCCTGGAAATAGACTCAGTGCTGTTGTGGGAGCACACTGGGAGTGAGACCAGCCTTTAGGACTGCAGGCTACATGGGAGGAGGGTGAGGCCTAAGCCTGCTGGCTTTCCCCCATTTCCTTGGAAACCTGCATTACTTAGCAGAGGCAGCCAAAATCCCCCTGGCAATATAACTCTATTGGACCGCGAACCACACCACCAACTCCCACAGTAGCTATAGCAAGCCCTGTCCAAGGAGAGGCTGAGCTCAGACACCACCAGGTGGTCTTTCTCTACCTGCCGTGGTAGCTGAAGACAAAGGTCATAATGTCTTGAGAGCTCTATGACCCTGCGCGCTGCCAGAGAAAACTGAATACTTAACCAGGTGTCCACAGGGGAAGGCTGAATTCTCCCTTAGGACCGCAGCTGATGCTCTCTTGAAAGCGTGACCTCCTGGCTGTAGGCCAGCTAATGGAAAACCGGCACACTTAACGAAAACACAAACAAGTACCCTCATAGAGTCCACCTCACTCTCACGCTACTTCCACCAGAGCAGGTGCTGGTATCCATGGCTGCAAGACCTGAAGATGGATCACATCATGGGACTCCTTGCAGACACCCTCAAGTACTAGCCCAGAGCCTGGTAGCTTCACTGGGTAGCTAGACCAAGAAGAGCAAAAACAATTACTACAGTTCAGCTCTCAGAAAGCCCCATTCCTAGAGGAAGGGGAGAACACCACATCAAAGGAGCACCCTGTGGGACAAAAGAATCTGAATAGCAGTCTTTGAATCCCAGATCTTCCCTCTGACATAGTCTACCCAAATGAGAAGGAACTAGACCAACAGTTCTAGTACTATGACAAAACAAGGTTGTTTAACACCCCCAAAAGATCATACCAGCTAACTAGCAATGGATCCAAACCAAGAAGATAGCTCTGAATTGCCAAAACAATTTAGGAGGTTGATTAATAAGCTATCAAGGAGGTACCAGAGAAAGGTGAAGTCGAACTTAAAGAAGTCAAAAACATGATACAGGTATGAAAGAAAAATTCTTCAGTGAAATAGATAGCATAAATTAAAAAAAACACAACTTCTGGAAATCAAGAATACACTTACAGAAGTACAAAATGCACTGGAAAATCTCAGCAACAGAATTGAACAAGCAGAAGAAAGAACCTCAGAACTCGAAGACAAGGCTTTCAAATTAACCCAATCTATCAAAGATGGAAAAAAGAATTTTTAAAAATGAAGAAAGCCTCAAAGAAGTCTGGGACTATGGTAAGCACCCAAACCTAAGAATAATTGGTGTTCCTGAGAAAGAAGATAAATCTCAAAGTTTGGAAGATATATTTGAGGGAATAATCAAGGAAAACTTCCCTGGCCTTACTGGAGATCTAGACAGCTAAATACTAGAAGCTTAAAGAACACCTGTGAAATCTGTCACAAAAACATAATTGACTAGGCACATAATCATCAAGTTATCTAAAGTCAAGACAAAGAAAATAATCTTAAGAGCTGTGAGGCAAAAACATCAGGTAACCTATAAAGGAAAACCTATCTGAGTAACAGTAAATTTCTCAGCAGAAACCCTACAAGCTAGAAGGGATTGGGGTCCTATTTTTAGCCTCCTTAAACAAAACAATGATCAGCCAAGAATTATGTATCCAGCAAAACTAAGCTTCACAAATAAAGGAAAGATACAGTCTTTTCCAGACAAAGAAATGCTGAGAGAATTTGCCACTACCAAGCCAGCATTACAAGAACTGTTAAAAGCAGCTCTAAATCTTTAAACACATCCATGAAATACACCAAAATAGAACCTCCTTAAAGCATAAAACTCACAGGATCTATATAACAATAACAACAACAACAATAACCAAAAAACAAAACAAAACAAGGTATTCAGGCAACAAATAGCACAATGAATAGAATAGTACTTGACATATCAATACTAACATTGAATGTAAATGGCCTAAATGCTCCACTTGAAGGATACAGGATTGCAGAATGGATAAAAACTCACCAAATTTCTGCTGTCTTTGGGATACTCACGTAACACCTAAGGACTCACATAAACTTAAGGTAAAGAGTTAGAAAAAGATATTCCATGCAAATGGACACCAAAAGTGATCAGCAGTAGTTATTCTCATATCAGAGAAAATCAAACTTTAAAGCAACAGCTGTTTAAAAAGATGTAGAGCAACAAGGAATATTATATAATGTTAAAAGAACTAGTCCAACAGGAAAATATCATAATTCTAAATATATATGCAGCTAACACTGAGGCTCCCAAATTTATAACACAATCACTACTAGATCTAAGAAATGAGAGCCGCAGCAACATAATAATAGTGATGGACTTTAATACTCCACTGACAGCACTAGACCAGTCATCAAGACAGAAAGTCAACAAAGAAACAATGGACTTAAACTATATGCTACAACAAATGGATTTAACAAATACTTACAGAACATTCTACCCAACAACTACAGAATATACATTCTATTCATCAGCACATGGAATATTCTCCAAGATAGACCGTATAATAGGCCCCAATCAAGTCTCAGTAAATTTAAGAAAATCAAATTATATCAAGTACTCTCTCTGATCACAGAGGAATAAAATTGGAAATCAACTCCAAAAGCAACTCTCAAAACCATGCAAATACATAGAAATAAAATAACCTGCTTCTGAAACATCATTGGGTCAACAATGAAATCAAGATGGAAATAAAAAAATTCTTTGAACTGAATAATAGTGTCACAACCTATCAAAACCTCTGGGATACAGCAAAAGTAGTAGTACTAAGAGGAAAGTTCCTAGTGTTAAATGCCTACATCAAAAAGTCTGAAAGAACACAAATAGACAATCTAAGGTCATGCCTCATGAAACCAGAGAAACAACAATCCAAACTCAAACCCAGCAGAAAAAAATAAATAATGAAGATCATAGCAGAACTAAATGAAATTGAAACAAAAAAATACAAAAGATAAATGAAACAAAAAGCTGGTTCTTTGAAAAGATAAATAAAATTTATAGACCATTAGTGAGATTAACCAAGAAAAGAAGAGGGAAGATCCAAGTAAGCTCCATTAGAAACAAAACAAGAGATATTATAACTCATACCATAGAAATACATAAGATCAATCAAGGCTACTATGAACACCTTGATATGCATAACCTAGAAAACCTAGAGGAGATGGATAAATTCCTGGAAATATACAACCCTCCTAAATTAAACCAGGAAAATATGGAATCTCTGAACATACCAATAACAAGCAGTGAGACTGAAAGGGTGATTTTTAAAATTGCCAACAAAAAACAAGTCCAGGACCAGACAGATTTGCAGCTGAATTCTATCAGACATTCAAAGAAGAATTGGTACCAATCCTATTGACATTATTCCACAAGATAGAGAAAGAGGAAATACCCCCTAAATCATTCTATGAAGCCATTCTATGTAAACTCCATGGAGAGAGATAATTTTTTTTGGTCCACCTATGGGTTCTTAGTTTCTGGCATTAAAAATGGCATTCAGAACATTTATCAACTTAATATTGGCTAAGTGTGTTTCCTGAACTATGAATTACTAGGTTAATATCAACTGTTATGATTAGTCATAACAAATATATTATTTATCTATTGTTGCATAACAAACTACCCCAAAACTTAGTGGGGTCAAACAACAATTATTCACTATTTCAGAGGTTCTATGGGTCAGAAACTTGGGCAGAGCTCAGCTGAATGCCTCCACTTTGAGTTCTCTCACAAGCTGCAATGAAAATGTTACCCAGAGATGCAATCTCATCTGAAAGCTCAAATGGGGAGGATCTACTTCCAAGATCAATTTTTTTGGTTTCTGGCAAGATTCAGTTCCTCATGAATTGTAGGAATAAAGGCCTCCTTTCCTCACTTTCTCAGTTTCTTGACACACAGGCCTCAGTTTCTGAGGCCTTTCTCAGTTTCTTGACACACAGGCCTCTCCATAAGCCAGCTCACAACATGGTAACTGGCTTCTACCAGAGAGAGTAAGAGAGCAAAAGAGATGAGTTTATGTCAGTGTTGGCCCATAACCAAATCTCACAGTGACATTTTTGGTGAATTTTGCTCATATTTGAGTAGGATGAGAAATAATGTCTATTTTAGGGAGTTTTTGTGAAGATAATATATTTCTGATTCTATTTGTTAGAAATAAGTTACTAGGTCCAACTTTCACCCAAAGGTAGGGTTTTACACAAGGGCATGAATACCAGGAGGCAGGAATTATTGGAAGCCATCTTAGAGCTGCTTACCATAACAATTTTGATGACTGTTCACATGCCTAATACTAGTATAGTCATGAAAACAATTACTTTATCAGTACTACTTTGAATATAATAAACATTCATTCATGTGTATAACAAAGTTAAATATAACACATAAAACAGAATTAAACACTATTTCACGGCAGAGGTCATCCACTGTCCCACTTGAATCTACCAGAGAAAATCTATAATATTCCCTCTCACACAAAAACAGTATTGCAAATGTGGATTGAGATGTGGGTGAAAGAAATATTGGTTTGCTGGATTCTTAATTAAAAAATGTTATGAATTAATAGTCTAAGAACATTTCTTACCATTTGTTCTACTGGGTTAATATCTAATGTCTCAATCTACACCATACAAATGTGTGATACACCCTTATATGTTGACTGATCATAATCAGGTATTCTGCACTTTTACAATGTTGCCTAACACCATGTGTGTTTTTACAAAGTAAATGAAACAGCCTAAGTCAAAGGTTTGAAGAAAGGGAGAGTTAGGAATGAACTCAAATCCTAATTCTCACTTCCTTCTGCTGTTATTTGTCATAAAGTAGTGAATTACCTAGTGCCACTTTTAATAAAATATTTCTATATAGTAGTGTGCAATCTGTGTACAAATGTGATTTTTACGAATAAATTCACTAATTCAACAAATATTTAATTTGTGCCACTAATATAAAAGGCACCTTGCTAGACATTAGCAATACAGAGCATAACAAGATAAACAGGTTTTCTTCCCTTTGAGAGTGTGCATACTAATGAAGGAGGCATATATCAAACAATTAGTCATATAAAATGGTATTAAGTGGCATGAAGAATAATTACAAGGTGTCTATTATTCAGCTTGGGCTTCCATAACAAAGTATCGGCCAGGCACGGTGGCTCACGCCTGTAATCCCAGCACTTTGGGAGGCTGAGGCGGGCAGATCATGAGGTAAAGAGATCGAGACCATCCTGGCCAACATGGTGAAACCCTGTCTCTACTAAAAAATACAAAAATTAGCTGGGCGTGGTGACATGTGCCTGTGGTCCCAGCTACTTGGGAGGCTGAGGCAGGAGAATCACTTGAACCCACGAGGCAGAGGTTGCAGTGAGCCGAGATCACGCCACTGCACTCCAGCCTGGTGACAGAGTGAGACTCTGTCTCAAAAAAAAAAAAAAAAAAAAAAAAAACGTATCATCGACAGGTGGCTTAAACGACAGAAATTTATTTACTCACCATTATGGAGGCTGGAAGCCTAAGGTCAGGGTGCCCCAGCATGGCAGGACTCTGGTGAGGGATCTCTTCCTGGCTGGTAGATGGCCACCTTCTTGGTGTATCCTCATATGACAGAGAGAGAAGAAGATTGATCTTGCTTCCTCTTCCTATAAGGTCACTAAGCCTATCCCATTAGAACCTTACCCTTATGACCTCATTTAGTTTTAACTGCCTACTAAAATCCCTCTCTATAACCAGTCATATTGGGAGTTAGAGCTCTGGCATATGAATTTTGGGGATACAGAATGCAGTCCATAGCAGGGTGCTATGAAACCAAATAATAAAATCACATGACTTAGCATTGGGTAGGAGAGGATGATTAATGAATTTTGAGCTCAGCTATGAAAATTGACAAAGTATGGATAGAAAAATATCTGAGTAGAGGAAAGAGCATGTATGTGGGGTGCAGGCCCTCAAGAGAAAGGGTAACCTCAGGCTCAAAGGCATGCCAATAGGGCCAGTGAGCCTAGGTCACTGAGAAGAAAAAAAAAATGGAATGACAGGTGCCTATGAAGACAGTAAGAACCAGAGCATGCAAGGTCTTGCAGGCAGGTCAAGGATTTAAGAGTTTTTCTCAATAGCATCAGGAAAAGGTATCAGCAAGGAACTGATATTATCAGATTTGGATTTTACAAAGATGACTGTGCTGTAACATTGAGAATAGACAGGAAAGCGGTTGGGTCAATAAGAGGCAAATGGTCAAGAGACTTTTTTTCCCAGAGAATTAGACAGATCCCATTCAATGGATACCTAGGAGATAAAATTGATTAAATATGGGGGGATGAGTGAGGGGAAATGGAGGTATTACGAATGGCCCCCATTTCTGTTAGTAGATTACTTAATACAGGAAAGTAGAAATGAGGAATAAGTTACAAAAGTTGTAAATTTGAAGGATTTATAAGAAATCTGGGTGGAGATAAAAGTTAGAGTCTTAAATATAGGTCTATGCTCAGAAAAGAAGTTCCTAGAAGAGCTGTAATTTGAGTCATAGCACTTATTTAATTTTAACTATACAAGAGAACAAAATCAGCTAGGAAAAAGTATACAGTGAAAAGAGAAGAAGGCCCAGGATGGAGCCTGAGTTTCTCCAACCTATAATTGCTAAGTAGAGGAGGAATAACTGGCAAAGTAGGAGAGGAGAAGATGGATAATCCAAGTCATGGGATGTCCCAGACACCGAAGGAAGAGTGTGTTTCAGAAGGAAGGCATAATTGATAGTGTTGAATGCGGCTGCTACTGCTGTTCTCTCCAGTAAGAATAATAGTAAGGCTTTTTTGCATTTAGGTATTAATATATGCATGTATGTGTGCATTTATTGCATTCTTTGTACATTCATTTATTTGTACCTATATTTATTGAATGTCTACTTTGTCATAGTCACAGGAGAAACAGCAGGAGTAAAATCGACATGGTGATAGAACTTACCTGGTCTTTCCTCCAGAAATAAATTAAGAGTCTCATTTAATCCCAGTAACCCTAGTGAGGTAAGTAATATTTTCTATAATTAACGATGCAAAAAGAATTTTCTCCTGTATCTCTTAGAGCAACCTATTCCCACTGACTTTGTGTACAGAAGGAATAAATGCCTCCAAGCTCAGAGTCAAGAATATAAAAATATCAAGTGTTCTAATTTAGGACTCAGTTTGACTGAAACATGAGTCCCTGAAGGTACTAGGAAATGATGTTCAGGCAAGCATCTGAAGAAAGGAAGAGCTAGACATCCCACACAGGACAGAAAGGATAGGAAAGTTTCCAATGATGCATATGGATGTGGGAACGGAAAGTCCTCTCTATCCTCAAACTCTTTTCTGAACATTCCCTTTACCTCTTGCTCTTCTACCTGACAATGCTGCTTTTCTTGCCCAGGTTTTCTATTCTACTCATGGGCCTTGAAGAGGAGTGTCTATCCTTTCTGTGCCTTATTTCTGCTTTAAGAACATTCTTATCTTCTGTTTGAATTTGTCATTAGACTCTACCTACTACCATCCCATTTTGCTACAATCTTCTCCAGAACTCCTGGGAGCATATGCCCTCATTTTTTGAATAATTTAGCTTGTGGCCCCCTGTCACTTCATCCAATACTACTCATGTCATAATGACTGGTAACTTCAGAATTCATGAAGCGTTTTCTTCTAATATCCCAGCCTTTCATTTTTTTTAACTTCCACTCCTCCAATAAATCTGTCTTCCATTATTTTGTGGGGGCTGTTGTTATTTTTTTTTTACACGTTCACAACAATGTAAGCCTCCTAATCTTAATCTCAATCCTTTCTCTTTCCAACTGCCCCCTAGCTTTCTGGGTGACCTCTTCCTTACTCCAACTCTAATAATTCTTCAACACCTTGAGACTCTACAATACATTGATCCTACCACCATTTCATTGATATATACTCTTTTGTCTTCTCACATCCTTCCTTGCCAAATTTAAATCTCATTATCTCTCATTATAATAATTTCCCTGTAGCACTCAGAACTTAATTGCTCCATCTCTCTTCTTCACACTTACCTGAATAGCTCCCCACTTGGTTAAACCCAACTTTCCATTTACATTCTCTCTGCTTCTATAGCACTGTATGTAGCTAGAAAATAAAACCATACAGCCATGTGTACTAGTCCATTTTCATGCTGCTGATAAAGACATACCTGAGACTGGGCAATTTATGAAAGAAAGAGGTTTATTGGACTTACAGTTCCACATGGCTGGGGAGGTCTCACAATCATGACTGAAGGCAAGGAGGACCAAGTCACATCTTATGTGGATGGCACCAGGCAAAGAGAGAGAACTTGTGTGGAGAAACTCCCGTTTTAAAAACCATCAGATCTCATGAGACCCATTCACTATCACGAGACCAGCAGAGGAAAGACCCGCCCCCATGATTCAATCATCTCCCACTGGGTTCCTCCCACAGCAGGTGAGAATTATGGGAGCTACAAGATGAGATTTGGGTGGGAACACAGAGCCAAACCATATCACCACGCAAAACTATTAAGAGTAACTTAAGAGCAATTGGGTCCTCTGTGCTCCAAGAATCTGATCACCTCTACCTAATCCACTCATTCTTCTACTCTTCTACACAAATATTTCAAACCTTTTATTTTTTTCTCAAAAGTTCAATAACTCTTCCCCTACCCTCGCTCTAATCTGATTCCTTGCTGTTTACTTTTCTAAGAAAATAAAAGCAATCAGAAGATAGCTTTCAGAAGCTTGGCTATTAAATTCTGTGCCTTTATTCTATACACAATATTCTATACCACACAATATTCTGTACCTTTATTCTCTGCCTTTTTTCCTATTACTCTGAATCAACAGTTTTATCTAAGCCCAATCCCTCCATTTAAGCACTGTGTCTCATCTGATCACACTCACTCACAAAAGTTGGTTCATCAGAATCTTCCCTCTTCCACATCAATAATTTTTCTTTCTATTGAAACAACCTCATCAGTATACAAACATGTCATTATTTATTCCTTCTTAAAAACTCTCTTGACCCTATTCCTTCCTCTATTTACCACCCCTTTACCCTGTTCCCCTTTATAGCAAAACCCTAAAAGACTTACCTATACCCACTCTCTGTGATTCATGGTCTCCTTTTCTCTCTTGATGTAAAACCACTTGACTTTTACCTCTATTCTCCACCAAAATTTATTTCATTAAGGTCAACAATAATTTCTATGTTTCTAAATCCAATGGTCAAGTGTCAGTCTTCTTTCTAGTTTTCTAGTTGGTCCCTAAGCTGTATTTGACACAATTGGCTCCCTGAAGGCTTCCTTCACTTGGCTTCCAGGACATTCCATTCTCCTGGTTTTCCTTCCACTTCAATGGCTGCTTTTTCCCAGTCTTCTTTTGCCAATTTTCTGTCATCTGTGCAACCCTAGTGTTTCTTCATCTTGCCTATAACTTAGAACTACACAGGGGGCTTTTTTTTTTTGAGATGGATTCTAGCTCTGTCACCCTGGCTGGAGTGCAGTGGTGCAATCTTGGCTCACCGCAACCTCTGCCTCCTGTGTTCAAGCAACTCTTCTGCCTCAGCCTCCCTAGTAGCTGGGATTACAGGCACCCACCACCACGCCTGGCTAATTTTTTGTATTTTTAGTAGAGACGGGGTTTCACCATGTTGGCTAGGCTGGTTTCAAACTCCTGACCTCAGGTGATCTGCCCACCTTGGCATCCCAAAGTGCTGGGATTACACGTGTGAGCCACTGTGCTCGGCCGAGCACTTTGGGAGGCCGAGGCAGGCAGATCTTGAGGTCAGGAGATTGAAACCACCCTGGCTAACACAGTGAAACCCCATCTCTACTAATAATACAAAAAATTAGCTGGGTGTGGTGGTGGGCGCCTGTAGTCCCAGCTACTTGGGAGGCTGAGGCAGGAGAATTGCTTGAACCCAGGAGGCAGAGGTTGCAGTGAGCAGAGAACCCACCACTGCACTCTAGCCTGGGCAATAGACTGAGACTTTGTCTCAAAAAAAAAAAAATCCCAATACTCAGTCTGTACCCCGAACTGCACAATTAAATCCGATGAGTGGGATGCCAGCATCAATATTTTTTAAGAGTCTTCAGAAAATTCTGATGTGTATTTTAAGTTGAGAAATGCTACCTGAAATTTTGTAGTGCACCAGGGCACACTTAGGGCTTCTCTTTATCAATGATGATGCCTTTAGTGATCTCAAAGTTTTACTGCTTTAAATATTTCCTATGTTCCCAAGACTACTAATTTACATCTCCAGCCTAGATTTCTCCCCTGAAATCTAGATTCTTATACCCAACTAAAAACTCAATCAGATACTACCTCAAATTCAGTGTTATAAAACTGAACTATTGACCTTATCCCAAACTTGCTCCTCCATTCTGTCCCCTGACAGTAATTGGCAACTCCACTCTTCAAAAACTCAGAATATAAAAAGTATATCTCACATGTAATGTATCAGAAAATCATGTTGATTCTGTTTTTAAAATATATCCAGAATTCCACCTCTTCCTGTCACCTCCACTACTACCACCTGTGTCCACGCCACTATCACAACTCACCTGAAATATAGCAAAGCCTCCTCAATCTCCAACCACTATCCTCAACCTGCTTTCTTTTTTGCCCCTTACTGTATATAACCCACACAGTGTCCAGGGCAATCCTTTCAAAATATTTTAGGCTATTTCACTTATGACAGCAATGGTTTTCACTCATGCTTAAAAAGTCAAAAAGTCATTATGGTGACCTGTGAGGCTCTACAATATCTACTTTTCCCAGCTATAATCTCCCTAACTTCATTTTCTATTATACTCTCCAGCCACACCTGCCAACTTGACATTCATCAACTAAGGGTTGTTTTCTGTTGCTTTCTATCAAAGAAACTTAGAGAATGTGTGGCCTTAGATGCTGTGGATCTAATTCTCATGGATGTACTAAATTCATCTGTCACAGATTGCATTGCTAGAATCACCCATGGAGTCAAACATTAAAATAAATCTGTATAAATGTTTGGTTATGGCTAGCTTCCCATTCCTGTCCCATAAAATACATGTTTTGGTACAGTAAAGAAAAATAACATCCATACACTTTGTTACTAATTACTATTGCGTTTTTTTTATTTGTCAGTAACATCATTTTTCAACCTGATGTGGTGGCACTCCAAGTAACCAAGCCATCTCCTAAATATGCACTTTACTTTTTTAGGTTCTAATGTTCACAAATTAACTACTTAAATTTCTACCAAGTTCTCATCTAAGCACCAAAAAAAGGTGTTTCTGGTTCATTTAAGTGAAATTTCTTTTTCCGT
This sequence comes from Homo sapiens, assembly GCF_000001405.40. Taxonomy (NCBI): domain Eukaryota; kingdom Metazoa; phylum Chordata; class Mammalia; order Primates; family Hominidae; genus Homo; species Homo sapiens. The sequence continues at coordinate 88,528,400 of NC_000007.14, read as the reverse complement.
ATGTTAATGTTTAATACGGACTTCTTTTTTTCTAAAAGAAAATTTTGTTTTAGAAAGTTGTTACTAAAAATCTATTTTAACACATAATTAAACAATCAAGTTGTGGTTTACATTGATAGGTTAGAGAAGGTTATTCCAAGATAAGTGATTCTAAATAAAGCAAATTGACAGAATTCTTGTATCTTTGCCTTAAGCCTGAGACAAAGAGCAATCATTTCTAATATGATAATGGCTACAGTTTAGTGTTTAATAAGCCAGGACTGTCACATATGTTTACTCATATACCCCACACAATATTCTTTGAGATGGGTCTAATTGTCCCACATTATAATCACAAAAGGGATGAGGCTTGCCAAGAACACACAGCTGACAGGATACCAAAATTCCAACTTGTTTTCTTTTAAAAAATAATTGCCCTTAGGTACTTCATTATGTTGATTTCATTGTCAAAATACAACAAACAATTCAAAAGCAGCTAAGAACAGACTTCACTTACTCAAAGTAAACTGTATGACTGTGATGTTATTAAAAATATTTGGATCAAAAAGTTACCCCATAATTAAAATATTTTCAGGGGTCTCTGTGAAATTGAGGCTGCCATGATCCAACCAAAATCAGCCCTGGACTTGGGCAGCATTCAAATCAGCTACTTTGATATTTTGCAAAAGGCAGAGGCTCTTCGTTTGTAATAATAGTGTCCTCACCATGACACTTTCAGACATTGGGTATGATTTTTTCACAGACAGAATTCTATCAAGATTCCCTTCTGATTCTACTTCCTAGTAGATCTCTCTTTGTACTTTCCTCTCCTATTTCTGTCCAATTGTAACACTTACGAAGCCAGAGATAGTTGGAGTAGCATCAAAGAATTAGACTTTGCAAAGTGCATTTGAAGTGGGTCATACGGTTTTGTTGTTTCCCCACCCAAATCTCAACTTGAATTGTATCTCCCAGAATTTTCACGTGTTGTGGGAGGGACCCAAGGGGAGGTAATTGAATCATGGGGGCTGGTCTTTCCTGTGTTATTCTTGTGCTAGTGAATAACTATCATGAGAGCCGATGGTTTATCAGGTATTTCTACTTTTGCTGCTTCCTCATTTTTCTCTTGCCACCACCATGTAAAAAGTGTCTTTTGCCTCATGCCATGATTCTGAGGCCTTCCCAGCCATATGGAACTGTAAGTCCAATTAAACCTCTTTTTCTTCCCAGTCTCAGGTATGTCTTTATTAGCAGCATGAAAATGAGCTATTACAGTAAATTGGCACCAGTAGAGTGGGGCATTGTTGAAAAGACACCTGAAAATGTGGAAGCGACTTTGGAAATGGGTAACAGGCAGAGGTTGGAACAGTTTGGAGGGCTCAGAAGAAGACAGAAAAATGTGGGAAAGTTTGGAACCTCCCAGAGACTTGTTGAATGGCTTTGACAAAAATGCTGATAGTGATACGAGCAATAAGGTCCAGGCTGAGGTGATCTCAGATGGAAATAAGGAACTTATTGGGAACTGGAGCAAAGGTGGCTCTTGTTATGTTTTAACAAAGAGACTGGGAGCATTTTGCCCCTGCCCTAGAGATCTGTGAAACTTTGAACTTGAGAGAGATGATTTAGAGTATCTGGCGGAAGAAATTTCTAGGCAGCAAAGCATTCAAAAGTTGCCTTGGGTGCTGTTAAAAGCATTCCATTTTAAAAGGGAGACAGCATAAAAGTTCAGAAAATTTTCAGCTTGATGATACAGTAGAAAAGAAAAACCCATTTTTGAGGAGAAATTCAAGCTGGCAGCAGAAATTTACATAAGTAGCAACGAGCCTAATGTTAAATCCCAAGACCATGGGGAAAATGTCTCCAGGCCATATCAGAGACCTTCACAGAAGCCCCTCCCATCACAGACCCAGAGGCCCAGGAGGAAAAAGTGATTTTGTGGGCCTGTGCTGTGTGCAGCCCAGGGACTTGGTGCCCTATGTCTCAGCTACTCCAGACATGGCTGAAAAGGGCCAACAAACAGCTCGGGCTATGGCTTCGGAGGATGGAAATCCCAAGCCTAGGTAGCTTCCACGCCATGTTCGGCCTGCAGGTACACAGAAGTCAAGAATTGAGGTTTGGGAACCTCTGCCTAGATTTCCGAAGATGTATGGATATGCCTGGATTCCTAGACAAAAGTTTGCTGCAGGGGCAGGGCCCTCATGGAGAACCTCTGTTAAGGCAGTGCAGAAGGGAAATGTGGGGTCGAAGCCCCACCACAGAGACCCTACTGGGGCACTGCCTAGTGGAGCTGTGAGAAGAGGACCACCATCCTCCAGACCTCAGAATGGTAGATCCACTGGCAGCTTGCACCGTGTGCCTGGAAAAGCCAGACCTCAACACCAGCCTGTGAAAGCAGCCAGGAGGGAGGCCGTGCCCTACAAAGCCACAGGGGTAGAGCTGCCCAAGACCATGGGAACCCACCTATTGCATCAGTGTGACCTGGATGTGAGACCTGGAGTCAAAGGAGATCATTTTGGAGCTTTAAAATTTGACTGCCCCATGGGACTTGGGACTTGCATGGGCCCTGTAACCTTTTTTTTTTTTTTTTTGGCCAATTTCTCCCATTTGGAATGGCTGTATTTTCCCAATACCTGTACCCACATTGTATCTAAGAAGTAACTAGCTTGCTTTTGATTTTACAGGTTCATAGGTAGAAGGAACTTGCCTCGTCTCAGATGAGACTTTAGATTGTGGACTTTTCAGTTAATACTGAAATAAGACTTTGGGGGCTGTTGTGAAGGCATAATTGGTTTTGAAATGTGAGGACATGAGATTTGGAGGAGCCAGGGGCAGAATGATATGGTTTGACTGTGTCCCCACCCAAATCTCAACTTGAACTGTATCTCGCAGAATTACCATGCATTGTGGGAGTGACCCAGGAACAGGTAATTGAATCACGGGGGCCGGTCTTTCCCATGCTATTCTTTTGATAGTGAATATGTCTCATAAGATCTGATGGGTTTATTGGGGATTTCTGCTTTTGCTTCTTCCTCATTTTTCTCTTGCTGCTGCCATGTAAGAAATGTCATTCACCTCTCACCATTATTCTGTGGCCTCCCCAGCCATGTGGAACTGTAAGTCCTATTAAAACTTTTTTCTTCCCAGTCTTTGCTATGTCTTTATCAGCAGCATGAAAACAAACTAATACAGTGGGACTAATTGCTTCCCATCATGTATTTTATCAATTAAGAGAAATAGAATAAGGCAGATAGGCATTTTGTTTGGCACTCCATAGCTCTCACCAACAGCAAGAATTTACACCTGCAAAGAAGTGCTCCTTCTAATGGATTTCTACCAGCCATAGAGGCTAGCATATGATGGTCATTGAGCTCTAGGAGGCTTTATCACAAAGAATGCTGAGGCCTCATAAGAGGAAGCCAAGCTCAAAGCAGAAAGAACTGAGCCAGTCAATGGGTGAGCCTGCCTTACACTGGCCAGGAATGCAGTGTTCTGATAGTGTCCAAAAAACATAATATTTTCTATATCTCCTACCAGATTTATGAGTACAAGTTGAACTGCTCCAGGAAGTTTTAGCTGGCCTTCCCTCATGGTTTCCATTGAATCAGGTCCCCCTCCCATTATAGAAATTATCATAGTCTAATAATAATAATAATAATAACACTGAGTATTTACTATGTGCCAGATACTTCACTACATGGATTATCTCATTAGAGGGTCACAAGAGAGGTCTGAGATAAATATGGATAGTATCATATTTTACAGATAAGGATACCAAAGGAGCTTGTCTCAATTTACATAGCAAGAAAGTATTAGAGCCAGAATTTAAACTGTGGCTATCTGACTCCAGGGTCAAGCAATATGCTATATTATATATTATACTGTATAGTATAGTATAGTATAGTATATAGTACTACAGTATACTATAGTATATTGTATGTACTATTGTATAGTATACTATATAGTACAATATACTATAGTATAGTATATTCATTTCTCTGACTCAATATTATAGTCATAGTATCTGGCAAAGAGCCTAGTAGGAATTCAATAAAGACCAACTGAATACATTAATGATAGAGATAGTATCTAGACCACAAAATTATTTATCAGACGTGTTTGTCTATCAAAAAAACTTAAATGTAAAGTGTCAAAGTCAAAACTTTGCTGCTTTAAATAATTTAAGTCCACTGAAGAGCAATGAGAATGAAACTAAACATATGGTAACATAATATATCCAAGGACTACCTCTAAACCAGGCATCAGCAATGTTTTTCCATAAAGGACCAGATAGTAAATATTTTAGGCTTTGCAGGCCATGCAGGTGTCTGTTACAACCACTCAATTCTGACACTGTAAGGAGAAACCGCTCAGACAATACATAAGTGAGTGTGGTGTGTCACAAAAAAACTTTAATTGTGGACTCTAAAATTATAATTCCCTATAATTTTCACTGGTCGTGAAATATTGTTGTTTCACTTCTGATTTTTTTCGAGCATTTAGGAATGTAACACTCATTCTTAGCTTGTGGGCTGGATACACTGAGACCAGGCAGACAGCAGTCTAGAGCTGGCACAAAGGCAGTGGTTTGTTGCCTCCTATGCTAAACTACTCTTGCAGTCTCCTTACACATAGTGAGATTTTGAAAGAGAAAGGAGATGTGATTCCAAACTGAAGGAGATTCACTCAAATGTGCTGTGTTTTGTTCCTGTCGTTGTGGTTGATGTTTTTGTGAAATCACATGTAGGAAGTAGAGCCATTTAAAGATCAGAGTTGTGACAGATGAACAAGGCAAAGATCAGTGAAGTAGTGAAAATGGGAGGAAGAATTGCTCTCCAGTTAACCAGCAAGAATTATGTCATTTATAAGATAATGACGGAGACAGGGGACACTTATTTTAAGCACCAGACATGTTCAGAAACAGGTCGGAAAGATAGCATCAGTCACCTAAGGCCTAATTACATCTCCTTCAGCAACCATCGCAATTAAATGATTCTTTTTAAATGAGCTGATTCAAATGCTTCATGCCCAATAGTTAAAATGTACCTAAAACAGTTAAAACGTGCATAAGAGAGAATACAGATTTGGATGTTCTATTTTTCCATTTACAGCAGAAGACTGAAGGAGCCTCCATTTCTAGCAAACCAGATTTTTTTTTCCTTTCAAAAGAATTTCTCCACCCAGACTGCTGACTTTTGCCAGAAAAAAACACACAATTGTGCAGGTGGGACTGACGTAAAACCTTTTATCCTTTGATGGCTAGAGCCTTCTCCGTGTCCTCAAAAGCCACACAGAGTTCTTCACCCTTCTCAAGGGCTACTCCATCCCCCTCCCTCTCTCCAGCTTTCCTTTCTGCCAATGACCTTGTTTCTGTTTCACAGAGAAATTGAAGCTGTCAGGAAGAATAGTCTTCAACTTCCTGCCCTCTGAGTGACAAACATCAGGATCTTGTTTACCTCCTTCTCTCAAGTCTCAGAAGATGAAATAGCCCTTTGTCTCATTTCAAGCCAGTCTCTCTTCCTGTGACCTTTTTTCCAACTACCCTCTCCTGCTTCAAAGGGAGTAAGAACTTTGTTCATCTATTATTATCCTCTCTCTTCTGGATTTTCAAATCTCTTTTTCCCTGCTCCTTCTCCACAGCCTGTGAATACACTCAGCTCTATCCTGGGTTAAAAACAAATACACAATCTCCAATCCCCTCTAACCTGGTGTCATCCTCCAGCTACCTGCCACCTTCTCTCTCAGCCTTCACATCAAGTACCTCAAACATCGACATTCTTATTCCCCACATCTCCACCTCCTATTCACCGTCATGGGCCCCCATGGTACACCACGGCACAGAAACATCTTGGGCAAATATCCCCAATACCCTTCCATCCTTTGCATTAAACGTGTAATTTTATTGTATTAATATAAAATTGTAAACATAAATATCCTTTATTCCTCAATGGTTTAGTTATCCTATTTTTAATTCTCATTATGTAAGTTCAAACTAAAATTTAAACTTCAGTATGACCTTCTTATAAAATCTCTGACAAAATGACATGCAATAAGAATGCAACATGTAAATTTATATATGTTTAAGACAATTTGGGGTTTAAATTGACCCAAATTTGGACCACACTAGTTTCACCATGAGATAATCAACCACTCATAATTCCAGTGCTTAAAACACACAAAAGCAAAAAATAAAAATAAAAATTTATTTTCTCTTTTTAAACAATTTCTGTTGTGCCTGTTTTTAAACTAATAACCGGAATTCAGTAGAACTGTAGGAAGTAAGATTTTTTCATACTTTTATTTCCCACAGCTATTATAATTGCCACTAATTCTTCTAGACCTTTACCCATATATAACATATATGTGTAGGTATGTGTGTGTGTAACGTAGTTACAAATCATAACTAATTTTTTTTCAGTTCACCTTCTACTTGGCACCTTCTTAACATTTGATGAAACTGTTTCTTATTCTTCTCTTGAAACTCTCATTTCTCTTATTTAATGACAGGGATCTTAAAAAGTTATCTTAAAGTCCTCCTTTCCTTTACTATCTTTAGTACCATATTTCCTTCAGTACTATACTTCAAACGATGAATAAAATCTGCAAATGCTACAATCTGCTTCTTCTCTTACACATTACACTCTAAAAGGTTAGTTTAGGCAGTCATTACAGCTCAGCTGGACAGCTACATTAGACTTCTGACTAGTGTCCCAGCCTTTATTCTTGTCCCTCTTTAATATATATTTCATACTGCAACTAGCATAATATTTTTTTCCAATAAAATATAGTCATGGCACTTCTGCAGTTGAAGTCCTCCAATGACTTTCTTGTGCCCACAGGATGAAGTTCATACTAAAATGTAGGACTCTACGTGATTTGGCCCCTGCCTAACTTGTCATTCTTACCTTTCACCAAGCCACCCTTTCATATCCTTGATGCAGCAATTTTAAACTATGTATAGTTTCGGATAGTACCTGCTCCTTCTACCTGGATTTCCACCATCTCATCCTCTCCTTCCTGTCTCTAGAGTATATTTAATAAGCATCTTATCTTTCAACACTCAGTTTAAGCATTACCATTTTTTACATGTTCCTGCCTTCAAGGATTTTTATTTTTTAATTATTTTTATTTCAATAGGTTTTTGGGGAACAAGTGGTGTTTGGTTACATAAATAAGTTCTTTAGCAGTGACTTCTGAGATTTTGGTGCATTCATCACCCGAGCAGCATACACTGTACCCACTGCGTAGCCTTTCATCCCTCACCCCCTCCCAGCCTTTCCCCCGAGTCCCCAAAGTCCATTGTATCATTCTCACAAGCATTATCATTTAGATGAAAACTTTCTTTTCCCCTAAATCATCAGGTAAAATTCACCATTCCAGTTTCACAGTTTCATGTATTTTATTTTTATTTTCATACCTACCTACACTTAATGAACTATAAGCTACTTGAAAGAAGAGACTGAGTTGTTGCTATAACCCCAGCAAAGATTTTTATGGAATACTCTGTCTTTTCATTTTTCTCATAAAATACATCGTTTACTGAGCATCTACTATGAGTTAGATATTATTCTAGATACTGTATATGTATGATATCTAATATCCACAATAATTTTTCCCATATTTATAGAATTAAAAACTGAAAGACTTAGATAGTGTAAGTTACTCATTCAAAGGTATACTGCTAGTAAATATAGAGCCATAATTCTAATTTAAGTATCACAGTTTCTCCCACAAGGTAGCTCTGATTTAGCATTTAATATTGTTATTATTTATTCTACCCTATTTGAAATAACTAATTTATGTACCATTGTCAATAAAAGAAAATGGATCCCACTATCTTTTTTCAGCTTGAGATATTATTCAATATTACAATCTTCTTTTTTTTTTCTTTTTCACCAGAGCTGCCTACATGAAAACCAGAGGAGAACAGTACCTCTTTTACCAATCAATGTTTTAGGTTATTTTATCAAGTTTAGAAGAAAATATGAAGCCAGTGAATTCTAGGAGAATTTTCAGACCAATGAGCTCCTCTAAATGCATCCTGCCTTTTCTTCAGAGAGCTTTTGTAGACGTGAAGGAAATACTCCTTCACGCTGGTCCATTAATTATGTACTTAACCTGTTCTACCAAGCAGAACCATGTAGATTTACTAAGTTGTGTGTTGCCCTGGCTGTTTCAGTAAAATGTTATATCATTATAAAGTAATTTGTGATGTTCTAGCTATAATTCTAATGTTCTAAATATGTCCTAGCTTAGTCCTAATTTGTTAGCTATTTTTTTTTTTACCAGAAAAATAGCTGTAAGTTCCCAGCAAATGGAATTTTGTGTTCAGTGTAGGTCATAATTTTGAACTCTGGAAAAAAAGTAAATTGGAGCCACAGAAATATCTCTTTATAAATTTCTTGGTGATTAATTAATGTTTACCAAGTATAATTTCTCTAAAATTATATACTAACTCATCACACATTTTATTCTAGTTAAATCATTTATATCATTGTCTATACCTCTGAACTTCCATCCCAAATCTTAATACTACAGTGTAGACATTAAATTTATTTATCTTCGTGGGGCCAAGAAAATGAGAAAATATTTATATTTGCAAATTGGAATTGCACATAGCATTGTTTACCTGCAATAAGAGACAATAATAATAGTGTGCCAAGAGAACACCAATTATGAACTAAGCAGGAAATATATCCTGTGAGTTGAACACTAAAATAATCCATTTTATTTATAAATAAGTAGTGGAGTAATTTTCTTTAAAATACAAAATTGAAAGGAAATTAGCAACAGTTCTTTTATTCATAAGAGAGAAGTTAAATACGTTATCTATAAATAAAAATTTAGGCAATAATGGAAACAGCAGTATAAAGAGGAAAAATACTGCCACCAGCACAGTGGATCTAGTCAAGGCTTGTGAAGCAAGTTTTTTTATATGCAACTTTACCTCTTTGCCTCAGGAATAACCATCCTATTCTAGAGAGGCAATACATTTTTCCAGAATAATCTGATTATCATTGTCGATTTAAAGGAATCTTTTAAAATGGCCTATTCTTTAAAATGTGCTTTAACAATTTCTGAATAATTCCTTCTGTATGTTTGACTTGTTACGAAGTATTACATATAGAGCAATAACCATTTATTGAAAGCCTACTATATGTCTAGAATTTATAAACCAAAGCTTCTGTATACTTTCAATTACTTTATGTTAGTTCTAATTTTCTTTGATGTTGACTAAACATCATCTCAATAGACCCAACATAGTCAAATACCCCTGCGGTTAAAACATCAAAGTAAAAATATCCTGCTTTGCTCAACTACTGTGCAAGGGGCTAAGCTCATTATATATTATAAATCTTGCTATCCCAGAGCTCACAGTGTTGCTGGGAGGCAAGAGGCAAGGGATTATGGTAGTTGGCCATCACATATAGCCAGAAGAAAACCGACATGTTGCTCAGGTACTCAACTCATTAACCACCTTCAAGTTGACTTGAATGAGAAATTCTAAGCTCTAATAAAATTAATTTTGAAAAAAATAATTTTCAAAGCCAAGACTGTCGTCTGGACTGACCTTTTTATAGTAGTCTACTTCATGAGTTCCATTTTGCCTCTATCATCAAGTAACTTGTTTATAAACCCAGAGTTTTGGAGAAACTTTCTTAATGCAAGGTACAAATTCTTCTTTTTAGAGATCTATCTTTAAGAAAGTGTTTTACATCCCTAAGTATATTCTTAAACCCTCAATCCATCATCTAATAGCTATAAAATTCATAATTCTTAACAATAGCTTTAAAAAACAATGGGTAAAGTGCATTTATTCTGTTCCAGGAAGTGTGCTATGAATTTTACCTCTAATTGCATATTTTGAACACTATACGAACCACATTAAATTGATTATACTATTACAATAATACTGTAAAATTACAATCCCAATCTTATAGATGAGGAAACTGAACCAAAAGGCACAGAGATGGTGTAAACTTAAAATTTGGTCTAAGCAATCTCGCTTCACAGCCTGTGCTGTTAATAAATATATTATTTCCTCCTAAGAGTTGAACAAGGTATAGAGTGAAGTAGTTTTATAATACATGGCACATAGATAGATGATTGACAGATAGATAGATAGCCTTATAATCCTTTAAATTTACTTAGATATTTCTATCATACATGAGCTTGACTGAGTTGCCATGACCTGCTAGAAAATACTAGGTCCATGCTATCTATTTTATTGTATACTTGAGAAACTATTGAACATCTGCTTTCTTCTTACCAAAGGTTTTATGTTCTGAGTATTATCTACCTGGCCAAAATTAATACTGCAAATGGAAATGTTAATAACTCTTTTAATCTCATTTATATTTATTACCTAATATTACCTAATGTAAATTCTACATTCCAAATATTCATTCCAGAAAAGCTCCTTTTGTCATATCCAGGACTGAACTTTATTGAAAGAGAAATAAAAGAACCTACTTATTCTACATTAGAGGATAGATAATAATTATAACCAATTTTAGAAGCCAACTAAAATCTACTAAAAATTGGCAGTAAATATGAGTCTTAGCTGTCTCCTGCCATGCCCCAAGCTTATTTAAAGATCAAGTGTATGGGGAAGTATTTTCCTATCAGTTTTGTTTCTTAAAACCCTGTTTCAAAAATCTGATGCCTTTGCTAAAACTAACATTAGTCCTCCTAAAACCGTACAGCCATCATCTAAAACCACGGTTCTCAAAGTGTGGTCTTGGGACTCTCAGGACACTGTCTAGGGGTCTAGGAAGTTAAAACTACTTTCAAAATAATACTATTTTTACTCATTCTTCCTTAAATGTACATGAAGTTTCATAGAGACTACATAATGTATGATATCATAACAGAGTGCAGAAGGTAATGTGAGAATTCAGCTGTCTTCTATCAGCCAGATATTAAAGAGAATTTCAAAAATATTTTAAAAAGCCCTCATCCTCACTAATTGTTTCATTATCACTATAGTCATTTTTAATAAAAATGTATTATTCATGTTAACAGGTATGGGCTTATTGCTCTTTTTAGATTAATAAACACATACATGTATATTCAATTTTCCCAGCTCCAATTACCATAATAAAGATAGATATTATGTACATAAACAAAAGTTCTTTTAAGAGTACAAAGGGGTCCTGAGAATGAAATGTTTGAGAACTACTGATGTAAAATATCCATAACCTGTTTTCTCTAGTTCCTTCTAGTCTTTGTCTTTAGCTTATTAACAATTATCATCCGTGGTATGTTGTTCCACTTTAGGTTTTCTGTTACTTTACAAAGTCTAAGATATTGCAGTGTCTTCTGATTCTTACTTGTGAACAGACAAATTAGTCTCAGTCAACAATTCCACCCTAGGAAATGATATATCAGATGGTGCTATTACACAACAGACTTCACAGAATCTGTTCTGAAAAAATGTCATCATGAAAGTCTAGGAGCTTTATTGTTAGAGAAAGAACTTCTTGGTATCTGAGAATTTTCATGTTGTTACTGTGTAAGATGATGAGTTTTCTTAAAATTATTTAGACGCTTGGCAAATCAGACTCAATACTGGGCCTCCAGCAATTCCAATAAAAAATAAAGCCTGGCCGAGACCATCTATGTGCCCTACTTGGAGTCTGGCCTGAACAAGTCAAACAGAAAGAAGTATTCCTTCACCTCTCAGCAGTTCTTAACATTCTTTCCTTGATTCTCCTGTCTGAAACATTCTCTTGCTTTATAATTGTCCCACCACACCCTTCTAAGTCAACTGTAATCTCTAATTACAACTTGTCCATTCCTTGAACAAAGGTCTCCCACTCATTTCTCCTCAGCCCTTTGCACTACTCATCCCACACTGGTGTACATGTATCAGCTATGTACAAATGACTCCCAAACCAGAAGTCAAGCTTTGACTTAGCTTATCAATGCAAGACCACAACTGTTAAATCACCCCAGATAAGTGTATTGTTAGCTCCTCTCCTAACATACACAACCAAAATCATTACTTTCACCATAAACAGCAAAACTTAAACTGTTTCTCTTACTCTATTCCACTAGTTCTCCACTGTGTGTGATTTTGCCTCCAGAGGACATTTGGCAATTTCTAGAGACTTTTTTTGTTTTTACAACCAGGAAATGGGGTTTCTACTGGCATCCAATGGATGGAGGCCACTGATGCTGAAAATATCCTACAATGTACAGGACAGACTCCCACAACAAAGAATTATCTGACCCACAATGTTAACAGTGCTGAAGTTACAACACATTTCTCTATTCCCATCACTTCCCTATCTCCCCTCCAGCCAGGCAAATGATTCGCATCTCTGGCATAGATGTTGACACCAGGAACCTGTATAAGCTGAATTTGAAAGTAAAGTGGCTGGAGGTTTTGGATCAAGAGGAACCTGAATACAGTAGAACAACCTCCAGGAAGAAGGTGGGCTTGGGAATCAAATGGACAATGATTGAAACCAATGTTAAATTTGGAAGTTTCAACTGAAATATCAAAATATTAAAAATTCTGCATTGGAAAGGGGGTGCTAAACCATATAAAAATTTTAATGAATTTGGTTAATGACTGATTCCATGATTCTCTCAAATGTCTCAGCCTTTTTAAGTTTAAAAATAGTCATGAGAGCAAAAGTAGAAACTATCTTTGTACGGAAAATGTCTTTGCAGATTACTGCTTCCATCCTCAAGCCCACCTCTTGAGGAACAAAGGAAAGTTGATGGCTGTTTGTGCCTCATCGCAAACTAGTGAGAGGGAGTTTATAGGGGTTGCCTAGAGTTTGATGAGTCTTATGTATTATGGAGACATGGCAGCCTATTGCTTGACTCATACTCAGAAAATCTAGGGATTGGGATGGTCTGGCCAGAAGCTTTAGGAGCATGTTGCTGCTGATTTATTATCTGCTAATTTATTATCTGCTGATTTATTGTCTGAGCCAAGAATGTGTTTATGCTTCCCATGGACCAGATGAGGGTCAGCCAGCATGTGAGTTGTATTAGAGCCTCCCCTATAAGGACTGCCTGTGCTGAGACCTCAGCAGACAAGAGTTCAAGGTGAACCAAAGAATTGCTAAGAGCTGCAGAGGAAGTAAGTGAACAGATAAAATAGGGAAACTTTCATCTGTATCAAGGGAACTATAGATGAGATGATACACAAGGGTTTCCAATGACTCCACCAAAGTGCCCACTAAAGAATTAGCTTTCATCATCATTCAGGCTTCAAGGGAGTAAACTCATGTTACAATGAGAACAAAGGTAACAACTTTTCCGTCTCCCTTCTTTCTCCTCTCTTCCCATTAGTCTAAAAAACTGAAGGAAGAGAAGAAATGCTAGGAGTTGAGTTGCCAGCACCCATTGCAGAGCAGACCCCAGCTTGGGAAGGGGTGGTGGGAGAATGTTTTTATACTTTAAATGACATTCTAAGTTTTGTTATTTGACTACACATTCTTTTTACCTAATTGAGACAAGTCATTTAAAGTGGCTATAACTCTTTCTCTTACTTAAGGATGAACAGAAGAGTTATGGTGCTTCCTCAAGTCTGCATACAGTGGTAGGTAAAGTACTACTCCTACTGATCAGTATTAAAAGATCACTTTCATAAGGTTGCTTCTATGATTATAGACCCTGTATGTACATCAATGCCCAAAGCATGGGCAGTGAGGCAAAATCTGTATGCCCAACAACATGAATGAATTTAGGAAGGAAAAACTAAAGAAGAGACCAGGGACATTGACTGAATTCGGTGGAGTCATTGCATGACCCCCTAGTGGGAGGGGAGTAAATGCTGAGAAAATGTGAATATCACCCAAGTAAAAAACTCCCACCTCTCCTTTGCCGTCCATATGTAGGCAGTTGTCAAGTCCAATTGAGTCCACTTCCACAATATTCCATATCAGTCCCTCTCCATTCTCTCTGCCCTCCTGGTTTCTTTCTCACATTCTTATCGCTGGATCTCCTAGCTTGAATTTATTCCACAAGATCTAACTGTCATTCTATCATTCTATCAATCACTCTTCACTCAGCTTCAAGAGCTATATATATTCTTAAAGCAAAAGTTCGCACATATCATTCCCTAGCTGGGCAACCTTTTAGGACATCTATTTTAAGGGATAAAATCTAAACACTTTAGCATGGCATTCAGGGCTCTTCATGGTCCAGTCACACACACACAGACACACACACACACACACACACACACACACACAGACAAAATGTTTCTGTCATGCTAGACTGTTTGACATTGCCCAAATAGGCCATAAATTTTGTTATCACTATGATTTTTCTCATATTTTGACTCTAACCTGAAATATTTTTTCCTCTGCCCCACCTTGCATACACCTCCCCTCCTCCTGCTTTTGAAACTCTACTCATTGTTCTAGGCCCAGCTTATATTAGAGTTCTGTGAAACATTATCTGGTCCCCAAGTCAGAATATTATTCCTTCTCTTTCCCTAGATGTTTCTTTTATTGCACTTATTTCCACCACTTACTCTACTCTGACTTATAATATAGATCATTTTTGTTTGTATACCTCCTCCACTAGTTAGTAAATCTTTTGATGCCTTACCTATAACAGACAGTCGATAGATGTTTGTTGAACTAAATTAAATGCTACTGACCAGCCTTGAGAGGTGGGAGAAAGAGGCCTTGGAAGCTGGCACAGAGATGTCGAGGAGTTTGAAGGCACTGCTGGGCCTCTCGGTGGTGATGCTGATGGCAGCCACAGTGGCCAGCATGCATCTGGAGCAATGGCAGGACCAGCAGAGGCTTCATGATGGAGTTATCAGAGACACTGAGAGACAAAATTAGAAAAAAGGAGACATTTGTGTTTTGGGAGAACAGATTATTTTAACTGAGCAACTTGAAGCAGAAAGACAGATGTTATTCGCAAAAGGATTTCAAAGAACTTAACTTGAAATGAATGTGAAATATCAATGGGACAGATGACACTGTGTGTGTGTGTATCTGTGCCTGTTGATGGAGAATAGCTTAGTGGTATCTTAATCTTTTTTTAGTCACTGTCTTTTTAAACTTGATCAAATAAAGGACAGTGGATCATATATTGTAAATTACTGCTTTCAAAGTTCCTTATGTCTGAATAAAGAAGTATGGGCATACAGTCTCCTAAAGAGTTTCTGCCTATGTGATCCTGGTAAAAGTCCTGTTAAGTTCATGGCCCTGAGCTTAGGTTTGTGACTGAAAAGCACTGCTAAATCTGTGAGAAGGAATAGATAGTTACATCCACCTAAGTAGTTTGATCAGTCAACATAGTGATGAAGCCATAATAACATCTACCTCGGAAGGGCTGGATGAAGGTGAAGTGGAGAGAGAGACTCCCCTGATTGTCAAATTGGAGGATCAGACATCAGTAGACTTATGTCATGACTACAGCAGGGATTCCCTAACAGCGATGAAGAAGATGTATTGTGGATGGAGAAGCAGCTGTCCTGCTTCTGTGACAAGTACCAAAAATGGATACCAACCAGACAGCTGAAGGGACAGCTCAGTTACGTTAAGGGTGATAATTTTTTTAGATTTACTTTTTCTGATTGCTCAGCAGATGGCAAGGAACAGTATGAAAGGCTGAGGCTGACATAGCAGCAAAGTCATCATGTTGGCAATGTACAACTTGTCTCTGGAAGGAAGTGGACATCAAGGTTATTTCAGATAGAACGAAGATATCTGCATTTTTATTGGGAAACATTGGACTTTTTTGCTAGGGAAAAATAAAAAGACTTCAAACTAATGGAGCACAGTAGCAGGTTGCCTCAGTATGGAAAATCCCATATACTTCTGTTCAGGTGCTCAGGAATTTGGATAACCAGGATGGTAGAAACTTGTTCATAAGAAACCCTCAACATTGAAACCTGAAGGAAAAAAAGTTGTCTGCCTCAAGTTTGAAGTAAAAGCCGCCTCAAAACCAACTTTAGATCCCATCTTTACTGTTCAGGGACTTAGAAAACAGGCAAGTTAGAATCCTGTGGAATCTGCCATGGAATTAAAAGAGAAAAGGTCTTGAGCTCAGGAAGCAAAAGACAGAAGAGGCCAGAAGGAAGTGGCTGGCTTTCTTGACAGGAGTATGTCTTCTATCCCTGTAAAATCCATAAGCCAAGGCCACAAGGCAGATCTGATTCTTGAAAAAGAAGAGATTGACTTTTCATCTTTGAGCTCCTCTGACCACACCCTGTTGACAAGCCCATCTACTTCTCCTCTGGATTTCTCGGCGCCCCCCCGCCCCTCCCAGGACAGCTGCCTCTCATTGGGCAATGCCTGGTTTTCTTTTAGAAGCAGATCTGATTCCAGATGTAATGCCCCCACAAGCTTTGTTCCATGATGATGATGAGATGGAAGGCAATGGAGCCATAGACGCAGGGATGGAGTATGTCTACAACATTGACACGTTGCTTAGGTGAGCAGTAAAAAAAAAAGAGGATGTTCTTTTAAAGCCACTGAAACTTGGAGGTAATTTGTTAGCACAGCATAACTTACCCTATTTAACTGATACAGGTAGGCAAAATTTAATCAATAACACATTGAATTAATAACAAAACTGAATCTCAGAGAAACTAAGGGACATTTTCAAGACAGCATTTCTTAGTCAGTTACTAGAAGGGTAGTAGGATTCATCACCGGATTTTCTGACTGTAAGTGTAAGACATTGTTTCATCAACTTTAAAGGGGAAAAAAAACCTTTAAAATGTATTTATTTAAATTTTACATTGAACACAATTGTATACATATACATATGTATGTATATGCATATGATTGAAACAGTCTTTGCAAAAATTATGGCAGTGAGAGAAATCTGACATAGAAAAACAATGACAGTGAAAAAAAATGTGACCTAACTGACTCCATCTTGCTTCTAGCCTCCAAGTTGCCCTTGTTCATTCCTTGGTGCAGGCCAAGGTAACTACGGGAGGAATTTATTTCATAGTTTAACCTTCAAGCAAAGATGATAATAGCCCCTTCCCAAAACTATCCTCTTTTTGCTTGGTGACCAAAAACCACATTTGTAAAACTAACAAATTAGCCACAGGATTAGAACTGTGGTCAGGAATTATAGAGCCAGAGGTTACAAGATTCCTAACCTTTCCAATTTTTTCTATAGATAACATTACTGTAAAACCTACAATTGGTGTTCGAGGTGGTGTTTAGACTCTGCATTCTGATGGACGAGCTGGCACCATCCAGATAAGTAACCCATACCAACAAACTGGCTCAACTGATCATGTGGTCCCACCCAGGAACTGACTCAGTGCAAGAAGACAGCTTTGACCTCCTATAATTTCATCTTCAACCCAATCAATCAGCATTCCCCATTCCCTAGTGCCCACCAAATTATCCTTGAAAAACCCTAGCCTCTGAATTTTTGGGGAGGCTGATTTGAGTAATAATAACTCCAGTCTTTCCACCTGGCTGGCCCTGCAATTATTAAACTCTTTCTCTACTGCAATACCATTGTCTCAGAGAATTGGCTTTTTATCTGTGCAGCAAGGAAGAAGAATCTGCTGGGTGATTACACATACATACATATATAATTTTAGAATAGATACAAGATAAAATGGAAGTAATACAAATGATAAATTTCAGTTTAATTATATTAAAATATTGTTTCATTTTGGTCTTCTTTAGTGAAAATTTTTACATTTATTTTTAAACCTAAATAATTTATAGTTTTACATAACAAAATGTCTAACATTTATAATTGTTTATACATTACAACTTATTTTGAGCCTTTAAAATTATCTCTTCATAATGAATTAACGGCATTTTCAGCAACCTGGATGAGCCTGGAGACTATTATTTTAAGTGAAGTAACTCAGGAATGGAAAACCTAACATTGTGTGTTCTCACTCATAAGTGGGAGCTAGACTATGAGGATGCAAAGGCACAAGAATGACACAATAGACTTGGGGGACTCAAAGGGAAAGGGTGGGAAGAAGGTGAGGGATAAAAGACTACAAACTGGGGGCAGTGTATACCGCTCGGGTGATGGTGCACCAAAATCTCACAAATCACCACTAAAGAATTGACTCATGTAACCAAACACCACTTGTTCTCCAATAACCTATGGAAATAATTTTTTTAAAGTATCTCCTTGTTTAGAAAATACATATAGATTTTGTTTGTATATAGATTTTGTTTTTGACAGGAGTATGTCTTCTATCACTGTAAAATTCATAAGCCAGAGTTGAAAGACAGATGTGATTCTGGCTTGCGGTCTTGGCTGATGAATTTTACAGGGATAGAAAAGAAATGAACTTAGAAATGAGATGTTTGGAAATGAACTTGGAATTTTGAAAGAAAGGATTTGGAAAAGTACTTGATTTCTAGTTAAGCCATTTTCAGCTACTTTACAGTACTTAGACATCTTATATATTTGTGTCAAAGTTGTATGTATTTTAGAAGTATTACCAAAATAACAAGAGATGTGTTATATATTTAAAATTATTAAACTCAATGTTACGTGTATTATGAACTAAAATAGACTGTTTTGGGTTTTTTCTATAACCTTAAAATTTACATTTTTCTTGTTGAAATTTGGGATGCTTTTTCTCCCCCTTATTATGACAAATAATATATAAACAAGTGAATATTTTTCTTGAACAATAAAATGTGTTTTCAAAAACATTAATTAAATATCATTTATATTGTGCTGTATAGGCTACCATGAATGTCCTTCCCTTTTCTACCAGCAATTTTCATTTTCAGGGAACAGAAAACATTCCCTCTAGTTTTAATCTTATTCTTCAAGGACAGTGTACAAAGAGACTGAGGAACAATGTAAATTGTTGAGAAGCCATTTAAATTCAAAAGTATTTCCATACCCTAAAGTTAAAACCCTGTGTGGTTTTCATAACTATTATGCTTCAATGCAGAATTTAACCACTATTGATCCAGAGTTAATTGCTAAAGTACTTTACTTAGATGATTTTGAGAGGAAAAAAGTCTTCAAAACAATATTTATCAAATAAGTAATTTAAATGCCCTACTACCATTGTTATCCCCAGAAATACCAGCATCAGAATACTAAAAAACTTTAAATGGGATGGTATGCTGAATTAGTTAAGAATCTTCAATTGAAAGCAGCAGAAAACAACCCTTACTAACTTATGAAAATCTAATCCACTGGTAACTGAGTATTTCACAGCACCAAAAGAGAAGTTAAGGTCTTTGGAAAGACAGGAACAGGCAATTCTGAGGCTCTTATAACCAGTAACAAAAGGACAGTCTTTTCAGGCCATCACCATGAAAATAAATTGATTCCAAATGTTTCTGTTCTTGTGACAAGGTCCAAATTCCCACAAGAAAGCATCTGATTGTTTTAGTCTCTGTGACATGCACAAACCCCGGCAAGAGAAGGAGATGTGGGTCCTCCATTGACTGTCCCTCCAAGGCCAAGCAGGATGAGGAAGGGATCCTTTCCCAGGGAACACTTTGGTGTGGCCTTAGCAAAATAAAAGAATAGATGCTGAGCACTCAAAAATCAGATGTCTGACTGTTTTAGGGTCCAAATCTGTATGATAAACTCTGTTGGGGGGGCACTGTTATGCTCCCATCTTAATTCTTCTGAGATACCAACGAAGTTTTGAAAAAAAAACAGGGTAACAGGCAGAGTTGAGATGCAGAGATGGATTTTTTTAATGCCCCATCCTCCTTCTCAAGATTTCACGTTTAGGATTTCATGAAAACTAATAAAAGGGGATAAGATGAGTATTGAGTCCTCCTTTTCACTGGATCAGTTTATCTGTACATTCTGGGATCTTAGCTGTGGAAGCACCTTAGCTAAGTGCCAAGGAAAGTGAGTTTAGCAAATTATGTAGCTATATTGCATCCAATCCTCTGTGGACTTATTCTAGTTCACTGTTATATATGCTCATGCCAAGCTTCTCTTCATCCCTATATCAGCCTCAGCAAGGTGAATGCATTACTTTGCTAGGGCTGTCATAACAAAATAACATAAACTGTGTTATTTGGATAACAGAAATTTATTGTCTCATAGTTCTGGAGGCTAGAAGTTCTCAAGATGTTGGCAGGGACATGCTTCCTCTGGATGTATTAGGGAAGGATCTGTCCCAAATTTATCTCCTTGCTTCTTCTAGTTCCTTGGCTTATGGCAGCATAACTCCAATATTTACATGGTTTTCTCCTTGTGTATGTGTCTGTGTTGAAATTTCCCCTTTTGTATGGTTCATCATGATGGACATATTGGAACAGGAGGCCCACCATACTTTAGTATGACCTCATCCTAACAAATTATATTTGCAATGATCCTATTTCTAAATAAGACACATTCGAAGGTACTTGGGAGTTAGGACTTTACTATATGAATGGCCTTATGATAGACTAGGGGTTATAGTGGTTTTTGTTACCCAATTTCTAACAGCTAACCACTTGTCTCCTATTTCTGACAGCAAATATCTGTAGCTTTCTGTATCTCATATTTAGGCATAAGCTTGAAACAACTTAACAGAATTTTACCCTTCCTACAATTCCCATGTTGTACCATAACTACTCTCACACAATACTTTTCTAGTGTACATGTACTGGCACCCCTTAAATGCATTAGTTAAATGCAGGGAGAAGGGCTAGAACTGGATTCAGGGAAAAGCAGTCACATGGTTCTGTGAGGCTGAGAAAGATCCGACTGCTTGCATTGAAAAAATGTCTAGTTTCCCAGAGCCACGCTACTACACAAGCTTCAGTTTGCTCCCTATTCTCCTCAAGTGTGAAAACTGCTGACCATCTCTGCCACCATTGAGAAATGCCCCATTTCCCTCATCATAGTCAATTCTGTCACAAATTTTATGATTTCTCGGCGATGTTCAGAGAGATAGGACTTCCTGCCAGATCTCCAAAAATATAAGAGTTGTTACTCTAGAAAGGAGGAGGTTAATATTTAAGCATGTCATGAATACAGATATAATAAATGAACATGATATTTCTACTTTATTTATATTGACTTCATTGTAGAGAAACTTTATCAAAAATCCATACGTTGCTGTTCAGTCAGTCTACATGGCTCTTCATATAATCTCTTAGTAACATGTGATCCTTTATTCTCCTATTAGAATGGTATCTCTAATTATGTTGTTTAATTTACTCTGGCTGCAAACTTATAATTTTGGTGATCAAACATATCGGGAGAAAAAAAATTCTGTTTCTGTTTTAATGCGTTGAATATTTTCCAGTAGAAGTTTTCCCTCCAAATTTTAAACTTAGTCTTATAAAAGCACTCTTGAACTCCTTTGTGTATAATTAATATTGTGTTCAAAATTTGTATGACTTCTTCAAGAATTAGAAGAAAAAGGAGAAACACAATGGAGGAAATATTCTACTAATAATTAAACCCCTGTGGAAACAATTTCACTAAAATTCAGCTTACTTGAAAAGATCCCTGCTTTAGCTTGCACTTGAATTTAAAATCAGGAACACTGCCTGATTAGTTTTAAAATAGAACTTCAGGATTAATTTCAATATTCAATAAGTTTTCAAGAGGAAAAGCCTCCACCAAATTCCTTTGAAATGCAGAAGTATGTGGAAAAGTATATATCCTATATATTTTATATAGGTATACTTTTATACCTATATACAGGTCCATTCATAGGGGAGTAACTTCAAGTCATCTTTGTCACATACAAATATGAAATATTGAGTTCAAATAAAATTGGCAGCCATTTTATTTAGAAGCATTAAGAGTTAAATCACATAAATAATATGTGTGTGACTTGGTTAATCATGTTTATTATTTTTGTGAGGTCAAAAAGCGGTACAAGATATAGTGAAGTCTAATTCTGACTTCATTTTCTTATTTAAAGTGTTTTGAATAATTTTCCTTAGCTATTTCTTACCATCTAATTGTGTAGAGTTTAAATTCCTTTACCTTTAGCTTTTCTTAAATAAGTTTAGTAATATAATCACAAAGTAGGTTAAGAGTAGCTCTAATTTCTCCCTCCAGTTCCACTCTCTATTCTTTCTCTCCTTGCTCTGTGAAAGGTGGGTGTAGGAGAGAAGTCATCTGTATCAACTGCATTAATATTTTCTAGTGGATCCAAACAACATTGAACACCATGGAGAGATAGAAAGAAGTAGTAGAATATGGTAGCAGTACTTATTCTGCTCATTCCTTAATGGAGGGTTGCTAGGGGCTGCCTGTGTCTATCCAGCTCCAGTTTTTTCAGTAAATATTTAACAAAATAATGTTTATACATGATATTTCAAATGCTAAAGTTAGGATGAGAATTTCAATTTATTAAAAATTTTTATTTAAATATAGATATTTTTATTTTCTTGGAACAGTTGTAAATATGTGTCAATAATTTGAGATTGTATAATTGCACTCCAGCCTGGGCTACAGAGTGAGACTCCATCTCAAAAAAAAAAAAAGAAAAAAGAAAAAAAGAAAATGGAGGTGGGCTGGGGGAAGGAGTAAGACAACTCAACAGAACACTGCCCCTGTGGTCCCCTCTAGGGACACCAAATTAAACAACTATCCACATAAGAAAGCACCTTCATAGGAACTAAAAAATCAAGTGAGCAATCACAGTACCTCATTTTAACCTAATAACAAGGAAAGAGGCACTGGAGAAGGTAGGAAAGACAGTCTTGCATTGCCTTCACCACCCCTCTCCCAACCTCAATAAGCAAAGCATGGAGAGAAAATCTGTGTATTTGGGGCAAAGAGAACAAATTGAATATGGGACTCTGCACTGAAACTCAGTGCTGCCCTGAGAAAAAGAAACTACAGGCCAATATCTCTGAGTAACATTGAGGCCAAGTATCTCTGATGAACATTGAAGCAAAAATCTTCAACAAAATACTAGTAAACTAAATTCAACAACACATTAAAAAGGTCATTCATCATGGTCAACTGGGATTCATCTCAGGGATGCAATGATGGCTCAACATATTCAAATCAATAAACGTGATATATCATGTCAACATAGTGAAAGACATAACCATATGATCATTTCAATATATGCTGAAAAAGCATTTGGTTAATTTCATCATTCTTCATAAAAAAAAACTTTCAAAAAGTTAATAAAAAGAACATACTTCAATATGATAAAAGGTATATATGACAAACTCACAGATAGTATCATACACGGAAAAGGGAAAAACGAAAAGCTGTTCCTCTAAGATCTGGAATAAGACAAGACTTTTGCCACTTTTGTTCAACATAGTACTAGAAGTCCTAGCAAGAGTAATTAGACAAGAGAAAGGAATAAGGGGCATCCAAATTGGAAAGGAAGAAGTCAAATTATCCTTGTTTGCAGATGACATGGTCTTATATTTAGTAAAACCTAAAGATTTCACCAAAGAAAACTATTAGAACTTATAAATTCAGTAAAGTTGCAGGACACAAAATCAACATGCAAAAGATCAATAGCATTTCTATATGTCAATAATGAACAATCTGAAAAACAAACAAAGAAAGTAATTCTATTTACATTAGTGACACTAAAATGAAATACTTACGATTAAACTTAACCAAATACATAAAAGATCTGTATAATGAAAACCATAAAACATTGGTGAAATTGAAGAGGACACACATAAAAAAGGAATGATATTCCATGTTCATGGATTGAAAGTATAAATATTGTTAAAATGTCCATACTACCCAAAGCTATTTGCATATTCAATGCAATCTCTATCAAAATACCACTGACATTCTTCACATAATTAGAAAAATTAATCCTAAAATTAATATGGAACCACAAAAGACGCAGAATAACCAAAGCTATCTGGAGCAAAAACAACAAAGCTGGAAGCATTCCATTATCTGACTTTCAAATTACACTACAGAGCTATAGTAATGAAAATAACATGGCACTGTCATAGGAAAAAAAAAAAAAACCACATAGACTAATGGAACAGAATAGAGAACCCAGAAATAAATTCATGCATTTACATTCAGCTCATTTTTAACAAAGCACCAAGAATATACATTGGGGAAAAGGCAGTCTCTTAAATAAAAAGTGCTGTGAAAACCAGATATCTATATGCAAAGAATTAAACTAGGCCCCTTTCTCTCACCATATAGAAAAACTGAATCAAAATGGATTAAAGACTTAAACCTAAGACCTCAAACTATTACAAGGAAACACTGGAGAAACACTCCAGGATATTAGCCTTGGCAAAGATTTCTTGAGTACTTGCACAGGAAACCAAAGCAAAAACGGACAAATGGAAACACATCAAGTTAAAAAGCTTCTGCACAGCAAAGGAAACAATCAACGAAGTGAAGAGACAATCTGTTTAAAGGGAGAAAATATTTGCAAATATCCAGTTGACAAGGGATTGATGATTATAATATATGAGAAATCCAAACAAATCAATAGGAAAGAAAAACAAATAATCCTATTTAAAAATGGGCAAAAGATCTGAATAGACATTTTTCAAAAGAAGACACGCAAATGGCAAACAGGCGTATGAAAAATGCTCAACATCACTAATCATCAGGGAAATGCAAACCAAAACTACAATAAGATATCATCTCACCTCAATTAAAATGGCTTTTATCCAAAAGGCAGGCAATAATGAATGCTGCCAAGAATGTGGAGAAAGGGGAACCCTTGTGGAAATGTAAATTAATATAGTCACTGTGATGAACAGTATGAAGATTCCTTAAAAAACTAAAAATAGAATTACCATATGATCCAGAAATCCCACTGCTGGGTATATATTCAAAAGAAAGGAAATCAGTATGTCAAAGAGATATCTGCAGTCCCATGTTTATTGCAGCACTGTTCACAATAGCCAAAATATGGAATCAGCCTAAGTGTCCATAAATGGATGAATGAATAAAGAAATGTAGCATATATACACAATGGAATATTATTTACATATAAAAAATGAAATCCTATCATTTGCAACAAGGATGGAACTGGAGGACATTAAGTGAAATAAGCCAGGCACAGAAAGACAAATACCACGTTTTCTCACTCATACATGTGGCTACAAAGAAAATTGAACTCAGAGAGAGTAGAAGAATGGTTACCAGAGGTTGGGAAGTGTAGTGGAGAGTGGGGTATAAAGGGTGAATGTTTAATGGCTACAAAAATGCAGTTAGATAGAAGGAATACAATCTAATATTTGGTAGCACAATAGGGCACCTATAGTTAACAATAATTTATTTTACATGTCAAAATAACTAAAAGGGTGGAATTGGGATGTTCCTAACACATAGAAATGATAAATGCTTGAGGTGATGGATATGTTAATTACCTTGATTTGATCATCACACATTGTTTGCTTGTATCAAAATATCACATGTGGCTGGGCACAGTGGCTCATGCCTGTAACCGTAGGACTTTGGGAGGCTGAGGCGGGTGGATTACCAGAGGTTGGGAGTTTAAGACCAGCCTGGCCAAGATGGTGAAACCCTGTCTCCATTACAAAATACAAAAAATTTAGCCAAGTACAGTGGTGTGCACCTGTAATTCCAGCTACTCTGGAGGCTGAGGCAGGAGAATCACTTGACCCCAGGAGGCGGAGGTTGCAGTGAGCCAAGATTGTGCCACCACACTCTAGCCTGGGCTACAGAGTGAGATTTCATCTCAAACAAACAAACAAAAAAATCACATGTACTTCATATATATATGTACAATTATTATGTATCCAGAACAGTTTAAAATTTTTAAATGAAAAATAATACTAAAAAGTAAATCTAAAGGGAAAAATACTGAAAAACTGAATCCTAGGGCTGGTAGTAGAATAAACCAGGAAGAAATTGATTTACACAATATAATTTTAAAATATCTCTGATTATACAGGCAAAAATGGCCAAAAATAGGAGGAATGGTTGAAAAATCTGTTAAAGAACCACTTGGACTTCCAGATCCCATTTCCCCACTCCATGCAGCCAGTGACTGCCTTTCCTCAGCTCTGACAAAAAACCAGGGGTTAGTGCAAATCAGTCTCACTTAAAAGTTTATAGCACTTTATAGTAAACACGGGAATTAAGGGAAGATAAATATCTTGAATATTTACACTGAAATAACTTCTTAGGTTTGGAAGAATCCTTCAGAAACGTGTTTAAAATAATACCTGGAAAATTCAAAAGTCTCCAGAGAAAAGACTCAAAGACACTGATATCAGGAATTTCTTAAGCAAATAACAACTAGAATAACTCTACAAGGAATTCTACAATTACCAAATCCCATCTATTAGAACACATTACCTGATATTGATGAACGTCTCTAATATGGAAAATAAGGATCAAAACAACTTGCAGAAATAAGCAACATGGAGATAACAAAAACTGTGCAGAAAAAACCTAACAGTAGTGTCTTTAGATGGGTAAGAAAAGATCTTGCATCCATGAACAATAACAAAATGCTATGAAAAATAAGTGTTCTGCAAACAAAAATATGAAGACTTGTCCATTTAAAAATTATAGCAGAAAAAATGGATCAAAAAGAGACCAAAGCATATTTATAGCACTAGGAACAAAGGGAAAATACTACAAGCTTGTAGAAGGGGAAAAAAGTGCTTAAAAAGTCTCAAAAATTATGTCATAAGACTTCTCAACAACTCTAGATACTTACATATAAAAAACCAAGGCTTTTAACAGCATGAAAGAAAATGTTGTCCAGCCTAGAATTCTACATCCAGCCAAATTATTAATCAAATATGAGGGTAAACTAATGTCTTTTTCAGGCCTGATAGATCTCTAAAATTCAACTGTGCCCTCTTATAGAGGGGCAGCCAATCTAGGCAGAAGCAAGTCAGAAGGCTTTGATAAAGACACTTCTTAAGCAGGTGATGCTGGTAAAATGCTTGAAGGGAATATACATCATCTTGAAAAGAAGTTTACATATCTAACAGAAAATGAGAGATAAAATTACTGATAAATATATTTTTCAAAAATCAAGGAATACGGCACAGTCATTAATATCACAGAATAAGTGAGGTTATATTAGTGATACATATATTTTAAAACTAAACAGAAACAATATAATTATTAACTCCAATCGAGCAAGCAAGAAAGAATAATTATAGTTTACTACATGGCTCCGTTATAAATAATTTGCATTGCTTAAGAAAGTTAATATGAATACTAATATAGTCAAAGTGACAATAGAAATGTATTTGGGAAACTGGAGCTACGGAAAGTGTGTTTCTCAGTAGTCAGCAGAGAAGGATTTGGTAAAACAAAGCTAAGTCTTTATTAGAAAGTCAATAGATAATGCCTGAACTTTTTTAAAACAATAAAATATCAATAAAAGTATGTTATTTAGAGTGAGAGAAGTCAATACCAAAAGAATCAACCAAATAAATTATAATTTTATTAACTGATTTATTATTTCCAGCTTGAAATCTTTAACTAGTTCCTGCTTCAGTTTGCACTCTACTCAACCACTTTTACTAACTTCAGAACAAGCAGTGGTTAATTCAGCCCATACACTTCAATCCAAATTTTTATGGGCATAGATCCTTAATGAGTGTTATTCAACAAAAATTGAATTCGTTTATTCATTAACATAGTCGCATGATGAAAATACATCTTCTCAACCTAAATTATTGTGAATTGTAAGCAAATGTGAAAAATCCAGATGAGATTTCTATCCTTTCCCAAGTTATCTACCATCTGACTTTTCAGAGTTAGTATAATGCTATCTGGGAGCTGGCTTCATCAACACATTTTTCAAAATTTCCTAAATCATGAGAAATGTTTGTATCTGTCTATCTTTTAAATGTTAATGGTTAGGGTTTCATGTAATATATATACATAAAATATATGTTATATATATTATACATGTTATATATATATATATATATATATATATATATATATATCACTGAAAGTTCTATCGTCCTTCATATAAGAGTTAGTTTCAACATCAGAACAAGAAAAGGATTGTTTCTAATTCCCATACTAATAGGGTATTATGTCGTCTATGAAGGGCTTTAACCAATAGTTAAAAGATGAGAGGCTTCTTAAGAGGATAAATGTTTCAGCTGCACACAAGTTATTCAGCTCCTGTCATCAACCACAAGCGTTACAGTGCCAGACTTCATGAGCACAAGATGAACAGCCTGGAATAAGCAATGCATGAGAACTTTCCCAGATGTATAGTCAACCCACTTTCTGCCTGCTCACAATTTTACATACCTTTCAGTTACTCTGAGTCCTAGATGTAAAATGCAGTAGTCAGGGATATCGCATGGATTTATGGCCTTTTCTGGCGTGCTGGGAGACTCCTGCCTTGGGCGAGGATTATAATCATTCATATATGTACGGTTTCTTTTTTCCTCTGTGGCAGATGTAGCATTGATGTCTTATTTCAGGAAGTCACTTCAAAATAATTCAAGTCAAAGATATACGTGAGAAATCCACTTAACTATTTCCTAGCTCAAGTACAAAAATTAAGCTAAATAAAACGGAGAATATGAGATTGCTTTGTAGCAGGTAGCAACGCCTTTACTGAAGCAACTACATCGTAGTTCCCTGTAGGCAATGACCACTGGACATTTTCGCACAAAGTAACGCACTTCAGCCTCTGTGGTGACACAGAGGCTGGTGGAGGGGAGCAGGCTTATGGGTAGACTTAGAATTTGCCATGCTTTAAGATCAAACCAAATCCAAACATTCTGGATTTTATAATAATCCCCTAAAAATCTCAGGGGCACATTTATGGCACTCACACATTCAGAAGGCAGTGCTCCTGCAACAAGAGAACAACACTGAATCATCTGGTCTATTATGATCCATTCCAGTTCCTCAGTTGCTGTGCTAACAGCATTAACAGGTACAATTTATTGAGCGCCTACTAGATGGCAGACTCTGATCCAGACACTTCACCTACATTATCTCAAGGCATCATCACAATTCTTAAGGTAGGTACGGAGATGCCCACTCTACAAATGAGAAAACTAAATTTATAGAGGTTAAGTACCTTGCTTGTAAGTGTCATGGCCATGATTAGAAATCACTTTGTTATATTGCATACTCCTCACAAGACAGTGATTCCGTCTTCTAAGGAATAAAATGATAAATAACGTGGAGGTTTTGTGCTGAGAGAAGTCATGTGTGCTCAGATCATCTCCTTAGAGAACCATCTCTAGATCTTCTCACCTTAAACATCACCTCTCTTTCACCTCACTACCCCCCAAGAGCATAGGGTATGACAAAGAAAGGGGAAAATAAGGTTGGTAGATACCAGGGATGGTGGGGAAAGGGATGAGGAGGTAGGACTTTGGTTTTATTTAAACATGTGTAAATATAACAAAAATATGAGGCAAATATGGAAAATATCAATGAATTATAATTCTAATTAGCCAGTATATTGGTTTCTGTTACATAATCTTTATACTTATCTCTAAGTTTGAAAAGTTTTATATTTAATTAAAGAAATTTTATTTAAAAAGTAGGTCTGGGCAAAATCAGGACATAAATATTAATACCACACTACTGTTTTACAGTTTGGTCTGAAAGTGATAGTTATTGAAGTTTCTGACAAGTGAAACGACAGTCTTGAGACTGTGATAACTCTCATAGCTGAGTGAAGAATGGATTGAAAAGGGAAGAGATGGATGAAGGTCAGGTGAATAAGTAAAAGGTCACCTCCATAATTATGGAGGAAGGTAACTAGATCTGTGCCCTGTTAAGGGCAGAGGAAGTTAAAGATGGGATAAAAGTGAGAGATTTCTGGTGGCAGTGTCCATGGAACTTTGTGGCTGACAGACTATCAAGGACAGGAGTACTGATAAGAATCGAATATAACTCCAAGCTTTCTGGGACAGTCAGTTAAACTGACCCAAAAGCCACGAAGAAAGTGGTGCAGGTTTGGAAGGAAAAGTTATTAGTTCAGTTTGGGGCCCCTATTCAGATATGTTGACAGGATATTAAAGTGAGATATCCACAGATAATACAAATAGGAGCCTAGAGCTCCAGAGGAAGATGAGGGCTAAAGACAGACAAACCAGGGTCTTCTGTGGATGTCATCATCAAGGCCATGTAACTCAATAGGACTGACCAAAAAGGAGAGCAGAATGAAAGTAGAAAGGTATACAGAGAATGGGGGGAAAAATTTAGACTCCAAAACACAGTATAGCTAAGAAATGTGGACCTTGTGTAAACACATCCTCAGCAAGGAAATTCTCAGGATCTTGAATAACTCCTCAGGGCATCAGGGTAGAATAGAATTAACATCATACCTATTACGTTCCAGAAACTACTGTAAGTATTAATGTAATACTACTTTTTTTTCCTCACAATAGCTCTCCGAGGTGATATAATGATGTCTGTTTTATAAAAAAGGAAACTGAAACTCAGAGATAGACAGCAATTTGCCCAAGTTCACACAGCAAGTGCCAGACCTAGGATTCAAATCCATATTTGAATAATTTCAAAGCAGATATTCTTTTGTTTATGCATTCTACAATGATCCATCTGGGGAGCAATGTACATGTTTCTAATGGGTCCTATCTTTCAGAAGTACATGGAGTAATTCAAGTATGCTGAACTTCTTACGGCATAGTTGAAAGTATTTTATTATTACTCCAAATAACCAATTGTTTGAATTTAGATTGAGCCTGTTTATGACTTAATTATTTGTATGTTTGAGATTTTTTTTTTCGTGGGAAGAGGAGAATAGTTGCAAAGAATTTATGCATTTGGGCCCAGATACTAATTTTTCTAACAAAGCAATAACATGAATACATTTGTTTCAAATCCGTTTTCCTTCCATGCTAAAGTAAAGTGTTTAGTCAAAGAAATAAATTAGCAGCAAACTTGGGAAGCCCTGTCTCAGCCTGCCAGTTGTGCATAACTAAGAAACGAGTAAAAAATGGAAAACTAAGATTTCTGAATCAGGAGAAGTTAATGGATAAACCCTGATGTAGCCTGATCTTTAGCAGGTGCCTAGTGAGGTCACTATCCAATTTAACACCCCCTAAACACTCTCTCTGCAATCCTTAGCACAAACAGAGTAGGTAAGAAATATGCTTTAGAAATAGTAGTATCGTGGATAAATCCTGCCTCTCACAAACAGGACCCATGAGTGTGTGGGTTTTAAGCCTACCATTCCATTTATAATTCACATTTCGACCCATTCCAAATGGTTCAAGATGTGAATTAGCAGCTTATAATCATACAGGAGGAAAAAACTTAGGAGGTAAACAAAAACAAAAACAAAAACAAAACAGAACAGAAACCAATATTATTGTTCCCACTCTACCAATGAGCAAGATTCACTAAGAATTGGGATTTCTGAAAGATCAAAATAATTAACAAAATGAGTCAAGTTCCAAATCTGTGCTTAATTCATGCTTCTGCTCAAGAGATAGGATAATACTGACCAAGTCTACACTCTCCATGTTAGCACTCATGACACACAGTAACATTTTTTAACCCAAAATGTAAAAGTTTACACAAAAAGATATCCTTTTAAAATCTGTCACACTCTTTGTAAATGGTTCCTTGATATTGTAATGTCATAAATAGCCTGACATATTTTGTCTCTTATAACATTCAAAATCCCAGGACCCTTAACTAACCACATATAGAATACCTTTTGAATAGAAAAGCAGAAAATATCTTGTAACTTGGTCATTAACCTTGAAGGATAAAAACTTTTAGAAAACGAAAGTACTAGTGGATTGTTGCAAACATATATTTGTTTACTGCCATTCTGGGTAAGCCGCATCAGATAGTACCACACAAAATATTTAAAAGACATAGGATCCGGCACAAGACTGTAAGATCTAGCTGTTGCCAGCACAATGTTAGTAAAGTGTACAAATCATTCCAGAGAGACTAAAGAACTATGCAAATGTTAAGTCACTTTTTTCTCTCCTCTGGTGTGAAAGTGATAAACAGACTGAAAATCAACCTTGTGTTGATTCCTTGCTTTAATGCACTGACTTGTTAATCCAACAGCTTAGTTTTATGGGCCAGCTATTTCAAATCAAAAGTCTCACTCCACAAACCCATATTTTATGATATCAACTGTGTACCAGATATAAATAAGAATGTTAAGAACATGAATCAATGAGACACATGAATAAACATGTCCATGTGGCAGTAGAGTACTATTAAAAGAAAAAGAAAGAGTAGTTGAAGAAAAAAATAACTCTGCTTAGAGGAATTTATATTCAGTCTTTCTATTTAATGGCTTTGAAAATCGAGAGCAGAGAAGTACAATACATTACTAAAAGAGTCGTAATTCCTGTGTGTTATTTTGCATAAAGTGTGCATATTCATTGTGGTTTCTTTAAATCTCTCGTTCTTATAAGTGCTACCCAAATAAAAGAAATACTGATACAATTAAGATGCTTTGCAGAGTTTATTTTAATCTTTTGGCTTTGCATTAAGAAGTAGCTTTTGCAAACTGTATGTTCTGCAAGCCAGTTCTGTAAACCACTGTGCATACACATCCAGGAGTATACGCTTCAAGTGTTGTAAACAAAAACGTTTTGACTTGCTAGTGCCTTAGAAAGACATCAGAATTTGAATGTGGATTGAAATTCAGCAACTTCATACCGGTTTAGTTTTCTGGACATAGTTCACGTCCATGACCAAGGAACACTTTTGTGGAATGAATGATCCATACTAATTTCCCAGATTTGGCCCATTTGGAGCAGAAGCGTATTTGTACTGTCAAGAGTGTCTTGGAAATCACTAATACAGCTCAAAAATATGGAATGTCTTGCATGCTGCCTATCTGGTTTAATCTCAAACTATCCCAACTTATGGGTGAAAGGGAAAAATCAAACTCATTAATTTTATTACCATATTTCATCAGCTCTAAGACATTTTTCACATATTTAACCCTTTTGAAATTGTGATGCATCTTTAATCCACAGCATCTTGGAATTAATTAGAAGCATTTTTTTCTTAATGGCATAAAAATAAATGTGTATGCTACTATTAATGGCATTTTAGATTACATGAAATATGGTATGGTTAAGTCTCACAATTTTAGTATAATAAATATCACTTCACTAGCAAAAGCAAAAGATCTGAATTTTAGCATTTCAAAAATACAGTTTTAGTACTTTTACTTACTATAATAGCAATTTGCAATTTAAATAGCTTAAAAGAATTGTAAAGTATAAGTTTGCTAGAGGGATTATGTTAAAGCAATAACAATAAACTTGACAAGTGCTTAATATTTACCAAGGTCTATGTTATAACCTTTCTATATCCATTTGTTTACTTAACCCTCTTAGCAACCCTATCTGTAAGAATTTGAAGGGGGAAAAATATTTTCCATGCCTAAGTCGTGAAACAATTGAGAAACAAAACAAATGATAAGATAGATGAAAGATCCAAATGCTAACTTTATTACTGATGGAGCTGATGTGTGAAAATATGGCCTATCTGTAGATAGCAGTGCTAATACAGAAAGAAGCGGCAAGGTTGGAAAATAATCTAACACATATGAGGCAGTAATATTATTCCCACTATAAAGAAGAAAACTGAGATGTAGAGAGGTCCAACTGTCAGGTATGAAGAGTAGTAGAATATGCCACACCAAAATATGCCACATTTGCATCAGGATTATTTTGAGCTGAAGACAATTGAGAAGAAGCAAATATGAGAAAAGCTCTCTGCCTTTCCTCCTATTTGCCTAAAAGCAAGGCATAAATTTACAAAGGTAGCACTCCTACTCTCTCTCTAACAGAAAGGACAGCTTGATCACAAGGACAACTTTAGACCCTTATCAGCCTGGAGAAGGCAGCAGAGGATTCTACATAATAAGCTTTATTAATTAGCCTCAGAGGATTCTACATAACAAGATTTATTAACTAGCTTTTATCTACCATTAGTTTCCTTATATTTGCCATCCCACAAGTTGGCATGCCTAGAGACTCAAGATTGCTGTTTTTTGTCTTGTCACTTCTCTAAAAGTTTATTGTTCATTTTTAAAGATGCTATATAAGCTGGAGTTCTAAGCTACCTTTTTGAGAATTACTCGTTCCCCAGGTATTTCCCATGTACATATGAAATATGCATGTTAATAAACCTCAGTTTGTTAATCTATCTTTTGCTACAGGGGCTCAAGCTGAGAACTTGGAAAGGTGAAAATTATTTTTTCCTCCTCTACCAATTGTTAGAATACAAAAACAAGACTGACTTTTCTAAAATCGTATAAACAGTCTCTCCAGTCGTTAAGTGTTCTAATTTTTTCTTCACGAACACAATAAAGATAAATTTCATGCCCTTCTCTTGTAATCCCTATGAAATGAACATTGGACAAGTTGCTTACCTTCTCTGTGCCTCAGTTTTCTAATCTACGAAATGGGGAATAGTAATAGTTCTCACCTTAGAAGGATGTTACAAAAAAGATAACTGACACAAGTAACATGCATAGTGAAGAATCTGGCAGCAGTAAGTACTCAATATATGTTCACTGCTAACAGGTTGAACCATATGTACTTGCCATTTTCAAGTTGAAAATAGGCAAATGTGGGCAAGTTCAAGCCACTATTATCTGAAAGAATCATGTGTGGCTATCATTTTAGGGTTAAACATGGACTCAGTGTGATTGCTTTAACGAAAAAATGTTTCGGTTAGCTAAACAGAAACTGGCAAAGCCAGGGTTCAAACATAACAAAAAGGAAGTTTCTCCAGTGTGATACCATCTTGTTCAAAAACCTCACCAGATGATGGTGGTGTTCTGATCAGTCGGGTTTCTCTTCTAATGTTTCTACAGATAAATTGGACAGGTGTGAAAATTAAGTAAAGATAGTAAATTACCTTTATGAAATGCTTAACAACTCTGAGTAACCTCTCTGGCTCCTTTTCACTTTAATATGCTTGTTAGCAAAATTACTGAACATGCAATGAAGCCACTGCCCATAATGTAGTATAACCCCTAATAATGTAAATAGCACACTAATGAGTATGCAAACCTTTCTGTTGGAAAGTTTTTAATGCTCCTGAGTTTAGGGAAGAAAATAAAATGTTATTATTTTATATTTCTTATCTTTATCAAATTTGTAGAGGTAAGTTAGATGAAATAAAAACACATAAAAATGCTTGGAATGTACTTAAAGCCCACCTCACCTCAATTGCCCTTTTCCAAACAGAGTGCTTGATTTTGTTTAATTTACTGATAACCAGTTTCATCTTCCGGTTGTTTCCGTTTCTTTTGAACATTAGAGGCTGGAAGCAACTATCTTGTGACTTAGATGAGCATTTACATATTTGAAAGCTTAAAGAAAAGTTATGTTCATCCCATTTTTCTAGTCATAATATTTCTTTATCTGGTTTTGTTGTTTTCATTAATTCCTTCAATTAATGAAACCAATTCAACCATTTTATTACATTATTGGTGTGAGTGAAGTTCATTATAAATTCTGAGATACACAATAAATTTTTTTACGTCCCTCATTCCTTTGTGAACACTAAATTCAGTATTTATTTAATGGAAGAAGAGTTTATTTTATGCCTACTCCTGATAATTCTAGTTCTTGTAAGCCATATTTAGGCCTTTGAGAGTAAGCTCTTAATGAAAATATCACATTAATATTCCCCCTTTTTACTGTCTTCGCTATATACACATTTCTTACCTACTTTTCTGATATTTATCACAACTCATTATGGCAAAGTTTAAAAAGTAGAGATCTTTGAATATTTATTTTCCCCATAGAAATGAGCATAGCTGCAGCATATTTTATATGTTTAATGCATAGTTGGTAAATGAATTCACTTCTGAAAAGATTCCACACAGCTGAAATCTCTTGGAGAATTTCATGCTATTTGAGCTCTGAGTTTACAAGGTGACTTGCAGGCTGGTGTCCTGGAGGAAGTAATCTTTCAGTGCTATTTTTTATATATGGGAAGGAAATAGCCAGATACATGGGAAAGGAGGGAGGAAACCATTTAACTAAAGTAATGAGAATGACAATGTAGCCATGAAAAAATTAAAAATTGCATTGTTATGAGGTGACTGGCCAAAAGTGTTAAAACAAGGAATCATTAATGCAGGAAATAAGAGGCTATAGAATATAATGAGACTTGATCAGACAAACTTACCAGACACCCAGGATACTTAATACTTAGCATGCCCTACACACTTTCAGCAGCAGCATTGATACACTGAATGGATGTTAGGCTAATTGGAGTAAACACCCATTCATTTTATTTGAGTAACATGGCTTTGATGACATTGTAAGATTTATGGGTGCTGCCATCTGGACTTTACCATGGTTCTTTTGTCATATATTTCTAATAATAGGTGTGTTTCTCTGCTGAACTCACTCACAAATTTACTGATTTGGAGCTGTTTACAGGGCAATCTTTAAGATAGCATTGTCGGTCTATATATTAAACTGACAAATTAGTTTTGTGCACGTGGCTTTTTGTGCAGATGCAAAAATGTAACCCAGATTCTTTGGAACAATTCCAGGTCTCAAGCCACTTACTAAAAGATCAAGGTTGTAGCCTAAAACTCTTGAAGCTCTAGCTTGAAGCACAGCTTTTGTTATAAAGTATGGACACAGCCAAAGCACTTTCTATGATCAACTATATAGAGTATCTAAATACTATTTCTAATGCTACCTAGAGTATCTAAATATCTATTTCTTTAAAGAAGTTACATGTAAAGACATATTTAATAAACCTTTATAGTCATGTAGATTTATAGGTCTGAGAGATGTTTGGTAGAAAGGTTCTTTATTTTAGGAAGAATAGCATTGAAGTATTTCAGAAAAAAAATGTTTTAGTGAGCATTTATTTCTCCTGGTTGTATAACTCAAAATAGCACATACAAAGTAGTGAGAAGCATTGCTTACATAATGAATTAAACCAAAGAACTTCAGAAACCAGCTGAACTTTGAACTTCCCCTCATGTTAATGCTTTTGGCTTTGAGGACAGCTCATGTTTATATACCAATTTTATTTCCTAAATTTAATTAGGAAGCCCATGTCTCTAAATGCATACAGTAACTAAACCTGACCGAAGGGTTATTTCATTATTTTATAATAATTTAAATGTAGTAAACTAAAACAGTAGAATTTTGAAAGTGACTGAGATAATAACCTCAAAGGCCAATACTTCAGCATTATTTTATTTTTGCCAGTTAAAATAGCAGGGGTACAGTTACTGCCTAAAGAGATGTTCAAGGGTGACAGAGGAAATATAAATTTGTAGAAGCTGCATCATTGTTCAGCATTGATTCCTGCCTTTGTTCTTAGTTTGCTGTACAAGCCTGGCCAAATTATTTCAGTCCTTTTTACTATGGTTCTTTCTCCACCAAATAGAGAATTGGAAGTTACCCTGTGAACTAGTACTATGTGGTCAGTAAATCAAAGAATTTGTACTAAGATGTGGAATTTTAATCCTAGATAATATAGTGACCCTGTCTCTGTGTATGGAGATTTTGCATTAGAATAGGGAAGAGCAATTAACTTTCACAGGACAGATGGCATTAGGTTACAAATAACACCAGCGTCCTCTAAATAATGCAAGGAGGTTAAATCAAAGGACAGCACTATTTTAACCCCAATATCTTTTTTTTTTTTTTTTTTTTTTTTTGAGACTGAGTCTCGCTCTGTCGCCAGGCTAGAGTACAGTGGTGTGATCTCAGCTCACTGCAACCTCCACCTCCTGGGTTCAGGCGATTCTCCTGCCTCAGCATCCTGAGTAGCTGGGACTATAGGTGAGCGTCACCACGCCCAGCTAATTTTTGTATTTTTCAGTAGAGACGGGGCTTTACCATGTTATCTTTAAAAGTCCTTGGAAATCAAGTGACCAGAAAAAAAAATTCCTAACACTTGTATTTCTATATTTTAAGAAACCTCTAAATAATCAAAAAAGAGTTTACTCAGCTCGGTATTATTTATTTGGAAAGACAATGTAGTTTGTCTTCTGACTGACCCTAGTTCTCCTGCCTCCACGTGCCATTCCTCAGCATAGGTGAGTTCAGCCATAAGATGCAAGCTTCAGATGGGCCTTTCAGGAGCCTCACCCAAATATGCATGCTGTCGTAACTCCGTCCCAAACTCGTATTGAGAACCCACCATTCGCTAGGCTCTAGAAATACCAAAGTGAATAAGGAGCTCACATTTTAATCCTTTCCCATGTGTGTTATTTGAGACAACATTTGTTCTCCTAAGTGAAAAGAAAAGACTCTAGCCCAACAGTTGAGTGCAGGAGGACATGGAGTCCTCTGATACAGCTGAATCAAAGTAGGCTCACAAATCACTGCCATTGTGAAAAGATTCTCTCTGGGCTAGGACCTGTAATGGGATTATGCAAAAACTTGGAGCTTCCCATGGCTACCTTACAGTGAAGGTTCCTATTACATTTTAGGATCATTTTTAATAAGTATCTGCTGAGCCTATAGACACTAGATTCCTCATATATTTATTTGATAAATATCAATGAAGCAGGGACTATGTGCAAAGCATAGCACATATACTGGGTTTGGGAGAAGAGAATGCAGTAATGAATAAAAATTAGGGTCCCTAATCACAAGGAAATTACATTTAAGGGAGGAGAAACAGATAAAAAATTATGTAATACACACTATTCATTATGGATTACAGAGGAGAAAGCAAATGTATTTTTGTGGAGATTTGTGGGGTAGATTTATGAAAGCATTGGCATTGAACTGAGCATAGAGAAATGACAGAATTTTGTTTAGTAAATGAAGAAGGAAATTCCAGGCAGAGAGAATGTCATAATTATATTCATGGAGCTAATACTGTATTTCATTACAGATGGTCTGATGGTGAGGAGGAAGGAGAAGGAGGAGAAGAAGGAAGAGGAGGAGGAAGAGGAGGAGAAGGAGGAGGAAAGAGGGAGGAGGGAGAAGGAAAAAAAGAAGAAGAACAAGGAGGATGGGGAGGAGGACAGGAAGTGGAAGAAGAAGGAGGAGGAGGAGGGGGAAATTAATGCTGGAAATGCAGTTTGTAAGCAAAGCAGGAAGATCTTTGAATGTCATGCTTAGGGATATGTATGCACTATATAGGCAATGAGGAATCAAAAGTACAGAACTAATCTTTTTGCTAGGAGCATTCAGTCCTACTTCTCATGGTAGAGATTTGGAAACTAAAACAAGAGAAATTTAGTGACTTTTGTGATGCCACACAAATGATTAATAGTTGAATGACTGAATATTTGCCAGTATGGGCTGTAATTATTTGGATTCTGTTTCTGGAATGTTAATTTTGAAATGTGTTATAGAATTAAGTAGCATAGGAAGAGATCAAGAGATTGAGAATGAGAGAAACCTGTTAGAAGAGATCTATCAAAGGCCAAATAGGACATAATGAGAAACAGATTTTCCATGGAAATGAAAAGATTATAGATGATGATGATGTATAAACTAATATATATGGTGATTACTATAATAGGCACTATTTTAAATACTTTACATATGTTGATGTATTTAGTCATCACAACAACCCTACGGGTAGATGCTATTATTGTCCCACTTACAGAAGAGAAAATATAACCTTAGAAAGAGAAAGTGATAACTAAGACCACAGAATTTCATTGTAGGAGCCAGGATTCAAACCCTAGCCTTCTGGTCAAAGTCTAATTTCCTAACCGATGGATGTCAGAAACCTCATGAAGTGAAGTCTACCGGTAGAAATAGGTACTTTGAAGATTCAAAGCAATGTCAACAGGTTCAAATTGGGAAAATGGCAGTTTTTTAAGTGAAAATAGGATGACCTCAAAGGAGTATTTGACGTATGTTAGGTTTTAGATACTGATGTGATATCAAGGGAGTAAAGGAGAAATCAAGAAATAAAAGTGTAACATTTGAGAGAGAGATTTTTAATTTAGAATAGATGACAGAGATAAACATTGGAAGAGAACCTTACAGAGGCGAGAGTCCAACTCACGGGCATGACTGAAAGCCTTAAGGAAAAAGACCTGAAAAGGACTTATCAATAAGAAGCCAATACACAAGGAGTTCATTATAGAGTCTAAGAGCCTTTCAGAGAACAATGAGGGGAACCAAGCAAGTGTAGTGTCATGGAACGCAGGAGAAGAGCAGGTCTCGTAATGAGCAAAGACCAATCAAAGAAGAGGAGAATGAGAAAGGGTGGTGTCATGGGTAGCTGGGAGTCACTGGTAATCTCTGATACGGCTGGTACAGGACAGCTATGGGGGAATAAATCAGATTAGAAACCATTAAGAAGAAATGGATAGGCCATGGTGTTGGATACCCTGGTGATAAAAGGAAGAAGAAGAGTCTGGTAACTTGAGAGTAGTGGAGAATCCCATGAGGTTTTTTGAATTTGCTAAAAGTCGATTATATCTGTAGACAAAAAAAAAATTATGATGTAATTTTTAATATCAGCATTAACATCCTTTCTTAAAAAATGGTACCCAAGTTACTGAATAAGTTCAGAGAAGGCCTAACATATCTAGGAATAAAGTGATTCAACAAAGCAACCAGTGAAAACAATAATGATATTAATGCATAGCTGAAATGTATTTTAATTTTAATCCTGAATTAATCAGTATTGTTTCTGCACATAAATATGATATCAAGCATAGGGGACATAGAGGCTAATAATTTTTAAAAAAATATAATAAAACATAAAAATATTTAAGAGCAAAACTAAAATGGTGAATCATTCTCTTGTCTTCACCAACACCACCACAACCACCACCAACAGAATTTGTGTCATTCCTTCCTCTCTACCTTCATCATTCTTGTATTACTGCAGTTGTCTTTAGTTCTACTACTACTAGATTCTACTTTGAGCAAAAGTGTCTTTCACATTCACAGTGAGATCCTGAGGAAATGTTTACTGGGTTGAACTCTTCTAACTATCACAGATTTGAAAACACCAGCTTGAGCTGGAAAACATGAAAACTACAATTTCACTTTTCTGAGGGCTTTGACTCCATCAAATATAGTATATAAAGTTTAAAAGTATGAGCTATGATCTCTGACAGACTTGGGCTCAAATTTTACCTCTCTTTTGCCCACATATGTGACCTTAGAAAAAGGTCGTGTCATATCTTCTACATTGCGTCTAGGCATCATCTGATCATGTTTTCTTCTCTTAACTTCCTCTTTCTTTTTCTTCCTTCCCTTCTCCTTCTCCTCCTCTTTCTCCTCCTTCTTTCTTTCCTTCTCTTCCCCCCCGCCTTCTTTTCTCTCTCTCTCCCTCTTATCTTTTTTCTTTTTGAGATGGAGTCTCGCTCTGTTGCCCATGCTGGAGTACAGTGGCACGATCTCGGCTCACTGCAAGCTCCGCCTCCCGAGTTCACGCCATTCTCCTGCCTCAGCCTCCCGAGTAGCTGGGACCACAGGCGCCCGCCACCATGCCCAGCTAATTTTTTTTGTATTTTTAGTAGAGACGGTGTTTCACTGTGTTAGCCAGGATGGTCTTGATCTCCTGACCTCGCGATCTGCCCGCCTCGGCCTCCCAAAGTGCTGGGATTACAGGCGTGGGCCACCACGCCCGGCCCTCTCACCCTTATCTTTTAAGGAGAATGAGTATCATCAAATTTCGTTAAAGAAATAAAAGGGAGGGCATTTTTCGCTAGAACTTCCATAAAAGAATACCAAAGACTGGGTGGTTTGAACAATAGAAACTTAGTATTATTATTATTATTATTACAGTTCTGAAAGATAGAAGTCAAAAACCAAGGTATCAGCAGGTTTTGTTTCTTTTGAGGCCTTGGAAAACTTCCAGATGACCACCTTGCTGTCCTCACAGCAAATGTGACCTTTCCTCTGTGCAAGCATACCTGGTAGCTCTTCCTCCTCTTATAAGAGCACCAGTCATATTAAATTAAGGCCTATAACCTATTTAACCTCATTTAACCTAAATTACCTCTTTAGAAATCCTATTTCTAAATACAGTCACATTTTAGGAAGTAGAACTTCAGCATCGGAACTTGGAGGGGTTGGGGGCACAGCTCAGTTTTTACAGGGAGAATAAGTCATCCTTTTCATTCATTGTGCATATATATACATTACTTTAAATTAGGATGGAAGAATGCCACTTCTTAAAAATAACATTGAATATTGGTAAATAATTTGTTTCCATGTAGTCATTGTTTATAAGAAAATATATAAAGAGATGAAATATAATTTCTCTATATTATAAAGAAATATTCATTTTTACAATGTTTTAATTTAAGCTGGCATTTACTTGGAAAAAGCAAAATGGCATTAGCACATTCAGAACTATATTAAAGATATTTAGATGAATTCCTAAGTTCATAGTATAGACATTGGCATTTCACTTATACTTTGTTGAGAAGTGAAAACTAAATGC
Source organism: Homo sapiens (assembly GCF_000001405.40). NCBI lineage: Eukaryota > Metazoa > Chordata > Mammalia > Primates > Hominidae > Homo > Homo sapiens. The sequence continues at coordinate 88,486,199 of NC_000007.14, read as the reverse complement.
CAATGTAGGCATTGCTGAACTATAAAACATTGAAAAGGGATTCTTTACTAATGTACAACAATTGGCAAAGTGTAAACACAGAATGTTGATTTTTTCATGTTTCTCTTAAAATGCTGATTCAAGTTCAGTGCCAGAAGCAGAGTGCCAGGCCATCAGCTTCGACAAGCTCAGCTGAAGTGAAGCCTGCCTTCCAAAATGGGAAGGGCAAGGTGCCCAGAAAAATACCTCATCCCCGAAACACATGAACATGTTTAAGTACTTGATTTTTTCTTGATACACAATAGCTTGGTTGCAAATCTAGAGAAATTATTTTAACAAATAAATTTGCTTATGTGAATTTTACATATGTGCTTTGTATTTATGAAACACCAGGCATTAAATCAGTATGAAGTTTCCTTCTACTGTACACTGGGAAAAACAATCTTCAATCCAACATTTAGATTCTTCCATTATTTAATGGAAATTAAGATTTTAATACACAGTGTGTTTTGAATTATATTTTGATTCCCTTAAATATCATATACTGAAGAACATCTTAAAAATTACTGAGATGTCCTAAAGGATGAGGCAAAATCACAGGATATGTAACTCTTGGCTGCTTATTAGTGTCAGAGCCAATTTGGCACACAACAAATGTAAAAAAGTAAATGTAAAGATCATATTATTGGATGGTAGATTTAAAAATATTGAATACAAACCAAGAATCTTTCTAAAAAAGTATAAAGGTCTAAATTTTATCTATTTTCTCTGTATATAAAATTATTCTACATTTAAATTGAAGAAAGTTAAGAATAACATCAAATGACAAAAGACAAAATTCAGCTTGGAATTAACTCAGCAGTTTTATGCAATAAATCCCACTCCTGTTAATTTAACTTTACAGTTAGAAAATTCAATCAAGTTATATATCCCCCAAATAATAATTAAATATTGAGAGTTCAATTAGCAAAATAGATAAATTATTTAGTAGAATGGTCCTCTCATAACCACATTATCTTATTTCTCCACTTTCTTTCACTAATGCACTGAAGCTTTTCAAAGTAATCGAACTCTCTAAATGAATAGTAGGAGAAACCACCTTTACTGACAGGTAGTAATCGACCAAAATGGGATTGCCAGGGTAAAAAGTTTATCTGCCTCATCACATTCTTGATGTAGGCATGCAGTTTTGCAGTTTGTCTCATTGACCCAGCTATTGAACCAATAAAAAAGTGGAGGAGAGGAGTGGAAGAGAAGAGGGGAAGAGAAGCAAAAGGAAGAGAAAGGGAGAAAAAGCAAGTCCAAGGAACTCCAAATATACAGAGCAAAAAGAAATGTAGAAAGGGACTAAGTCGTCTGTGGACCTTGCCTTGCACATTCTCCAGGCTTGCTGGATGCTTAATATTTATAGAAATGACATAAGGTACTCATGTGTACATGCTGTCATAAGGCAAAACTGAGGCTCCCTGGAATCAATCTTTAATCGGCAATTATGCTCAGGAATGTAAAGAGGACAGCATGTTAAAGCAACCTAGATAATAATATGCACTCACTCAATGATTTATAACAGACCAGTTACAAACAACACCAATTCAATTTATTTAAGTGTCTGTGCGCCTCCTCAGGGAAAGGAAGACTTAGAAACTTTGGTAAGCTGATAAATGATGTGTACTTACTTAGAAGGTTGTGTTAAGTTGTGTGTGGTTATTTCCCCAGATATTCCAATAGGAGCAACCTCAGCAAGTAGAATGCTTGGAATGTTCTTTCCTGTCGTCTTCCATATCTGAATTCAGGATAGCTTGATACCCTACCAAGAATGGCAAAGCAGACTAGACTATACAGGAATTACTACAGTAGGGTTCCTGGTACACTCAATTTAGAAATGTAGATAGTTCTTGTTTCCAAATAAATTCTTCCTGAATATTTACTTGTATATATATATATATATATGCACACACACATATATATACACTCACACACATATCTATATCAGACATTTAAATGAACTTATGCTTTGTTCATTCAATAAGCATCTATAAAACATTTCTAGGTGCCAGAGAATGTACTAGTTGCTATGAATAAATTAAAAAAACGTAATTCCTGTCTTCAGAGAAGATGAAAGAGAAAGGAAATATAATTTATTGTGCACTTGTTATGTACCTAATATAAGTGATCCTAAAACTCCTGTGAAGTTGGTACTATTTTCCCCATTTTACTGATAAAGAAATTAAGGCTTTAAAGAAAATTAAATGACTGTTTATTGTCAATTACCCAGTTACAAGTAGCAAAGTCAGTATTTAAACCAAGATCTGTCAGACTGCTAAGTCCAATCTCTCTTCCCTATTCTGCCATTAGTTTTAAGTAGGGAAGGTGGTCAAATAAATAAGATATTTAATGTGACATAAATAAATGTGTACAATGTAAAGTAATGACAATAAAGAGTAGTAAAAATTCTACCTTGGGTAAAAGAAAGAAGAAAAGTTCTGAGAAGTCTTCTTCAAAAATATAATATGTGAGCAGTGTGTTTAAGAATGATCGGCAGTTCTCTAGTGAGTAGTGAGGCACATGGAGCCATGTCCTTATTAAAACCTTTATAGTCCCTAAAATACACTTTATTTTCACCCTCTTTTCCCTTTGTCCAATGTGATGTATTTTTCCAGAAACATTTCATCCTCTTTGTCTGCCTTGCAAATTCCCAGAATTAAATCTAATGGACTTAGAGATGTGGGAATTTATAGATATTTCCCAATAATTTATTCATTCAGAAAATATTTATGATTCCCTACTTACATACCAGATACTGAATGTTCAGGCAAAAACCAAATAGATTTTGGCCTGCTTAAAATCTAGTTGGGGATACAGAAAACTAAAATTATGATTGCAACACAATATGTGCCACAATAAAGGGAACCACAAGTGGTATAAGGGAACAGTGGAAGGCACTGAAGGAAGCTTCCCAAAGGAGACCCTGCTCTGTGTCTTAAAGGCTGAGTGTTTGTTGTTATGTACTGAAAAGAATTAAAAAAAAACACACACTTCTTGGTGTGTTTCGTATTGTTGAACAATATCATTAAAATCTTTGCAACACTGCAGCTGATTGCTAATTGTGTAATAAACAAAATAGCTGATTAAATGCATAAGACCAGCAAAGTGACATAGAAATAACAATGCTGTAGTGTAATCATGTCTTCCATATGCACTAGTGAGAAGAAATTTGACAGTGATGTGCTTATTAGTGGAAAGATCATTCTGAACCTAAGACACCATCAGACTTAATTTATTAACAATATCAATCTCCTGATATAATCTCCAAATGAAGGGAAATTTAGTTGATTGGCATCAAAGAGGAAAAATAATCATGGCTACATTGACAATCGGAATGATAACTCTATTTTGACCTAAAATATAAGCCAATGTGAAGAACTTTTCTAGAACTGCTTAGCCCAAGAGGATATTTACTCCAGATTCTGCAGTCCTCTCTCTCAATACATATACATATCTTCCTTTCTTCATATTTACTGAATCATTGCAATCAATAAAGTACCAGATATTGCACTATCTGAAGCCTGGATCTGAGCTTACAATATCATTGATTGCTTTACTTCCCAATTTTCTCCACCTGAGATAGCATTTACTTTCTAGCTAAATAATTTTCTTCAGTATACAGCGTACATGTTTTCAGAAGTACTAAAGGCTACTTTTAAGTGTCTAGTAATAAAATTATAATAAGTAATATGTAGAGAGCATTAACTTGTTATAGGTCTTCTACTTGTATTAATTTTTAATCCATACAACCCTATTACATAGGTACTCTTATTATCCCCATTCTAAAAGTAAGAGCCTGAGCCACAGAGTAGTTAAATAACTTTCCAAAGTCATACCACATTTCAAAAAGAAATTGGATATCATGCTCACTGCCTTTCAGAACATGAAGTTTACTGAAGGGATGTATAGGAAACTTGTCCTGTTTAAGGTGTTAAAAATAATCTTATTTTAAAAAATATATATGGATAATATATCAAGAAAAATGTTTGTATTCTGAAAAGATAGACAATTCATATCCCATTGACAATAATTTCCTCTGAATTTCTCTTATTATCACAATTTAATTTTAAGAATTTTAATTTTTAATGCTGTATAGTCTCAAATATCTTTGCCTTTTACATCTGAATTATAAGGACTAGCCTGTAATTTATCTAACTTCGTAGCTAAGCATAGCCTAGCTTTGAAGCCTTTTACCTTTGTATTTAGGTTTTCAATTATTGGTCTTAATTCCATCTTTTAGTTTCTTTACTGGCAATAAATACTGTCCTATTTTTCAAGTCAAGTACTTTTCTAAATAAGTGTACAAAGTTACCTGCAAAAACTCCTGTGCGTTGTAAGGACTATGGTAATAACATGTCATGATATTATAAGTGATATTCTCCATTTCATAATAAAATTTCCCTGTATTCATGTCTATACTAGCAAAACAAAATATAGATATAAACTAATTCTAAAATTCAAAAGGGGGACAAATAGCATGTAAGAGCTAGAAAGACCTAAAGGTAATACTTGAATTAAAATGCACATTTTGCTTTAAATATCTGGAAAATACATTCAAATCTTTGTTTTCTTTGCTGGCGTACACCTACCCATATCTTTAGGAGACTTTTACATGATTTTTTCATTAAACACTAATAATAATATTCTCATTATTTATGCTTATTTTTCAGATGTTTAAGACATAAAAGATAGAAATGTAAAGCCTCCATTTTAGGATCGTGGAAGACAAAATTAGCTAACTTCTCATTAAACAAGAAGTTTGTTTTACATTGTTATATTTTAATAACAGGACACCTGTTTGTTTATAGAAAAATGTTCCATTATCAACTAGGCATCAAGTAACCACTACAGAATTTAAAACCTGGAAGAATTTCCACCAAAAAACTGAAGCCAAATAAAATGTTGGCATATTTTTCCCTACAATTTTAGCATTGAAGTATATTATATGCCCCTCTCAACATCTTCTACATGAGAGCAAAGGCACACATTTCTACTAATGTTTTCCAGAAATGCAAATTAAGACATGTTACTTGGCAGCTTCCTGGAAAGATGAAAGAGACTTTGCAGCCCAAGCTGTGTGCCTGGCCAGATTCCAGGTGAGAGGTTTCTTCCTGAGATGAGGCTGAATCAGCCAAGAATAGCCTAAAAGCAGTAAAAGTGAATGGCAATTAAGCAAAATGTGGAAAAATGACAGAAGATTAAGGGACCACAAAATATTTGATCTCTAATGTTATACCAAAGACTTGTTAATTATGAAAATCTGATCCTTTGTGTTTGTTGTATTTATGTTCAGAAATAGTCTAAAAGAATGAGAAATGTGTGTTACATAGTGAAACTCAATAAGCAATACATTTCTTTAAAATCCTCTTCTTTCAAAATGGAGCAATATTCATTCCAAGAAGCAAAACCAGTTTATAAGAATAGGCCTGTAATGCCAGCAAAGAGTTTGTCTTCATTTGCTAAAATAGCTGTTTAAAAATCATTAACATGTGTATTAATCAAAGTTGTCTAGAGAAACATAACCAGTAAGATATATATGTAGAAAGAGATTTATTATAAGGAATTGGCTCGCATGATTGTGGAAGCTGACAAGTCTCAAGATCTGTAATAATCAAGCTGGAGACCCATAAGAGCGAATAATGTAGTTCCAGTCCAGGTTCAACACCCCGAGAACCAGGAGAGCAGATGGTACAGCTCCAGTCTGAAGGCCCGCAAGCTTGACACCTAGGAATTGCTCATGTTTCCATTTGAATCCAAAGACAGGAGAAATCTAATGTACCAGCTCAAGGCAGTCAGGCAGGAGGAAATTTTCTCTGACTTTCAGGAAGGTCAGCCTTTTTGTTCTACTCAGGCCTTCAGTGGATTGAATGAGTTCCTCCCACAATGCAGGGGGCAATCTGCTTTACTCAGTCTACCAATTCAAATGTTACTCTCATCAAGAAACATGCTCACAGACTCACCCAGAATAATGTTTGACCAAATGTCACTCAAAGATGTATTTTTCTAAATATTTATGAACAGCTTATTTAAAATGTGCCAAAAATTCATGTTCAGTTTATCAATCTGTAATTGTTAGGGTTTGGGCAACATGACAGTTCGATAAAGAAAAAGATATAAATTTGGATTTGAATAGGAAGGCAGTCCAACACCCAAAGAACTAATGTACAGAAGTCGATAATAGTTCCCTCGATGTCCATCCTTTGCTTCACTCTCAGAGTATTAAGAATCTACTGTTTACCTCAGCATTTGACTGTGCAGAATAAAGACAAAATTCCTCCTTATTGTTTACAGCAATAGTAGACCTTTGACAAAGGTCTGCCGTGGAGATATAAGAAGTAGACTGTGTAATTTCTAGATTACATCCTTAAAGGAAGATGCTTGTTCTTTTTCCATCCACCACTTGAAACATAATCATGGTTGTAAACCATATTGGGCTGTGCAGATAATGGCAGCATCCTAGCAGATCATGAAGATGGAAGGCATATGGCTCTCTGAAAGATTGACTGGTGCAGAGAAATCATATTAGCTGTAAGACAGACACCTCCTTACACATTTTTACATGTTTGAGAAAATGAACTTCTCTCAGTTTAACCACTGTTTTTGAGTTTCTTTTACGTTTAGTTGAACTTATATTTTAACCAGCACAGTAAGTTTAATTTTGACTTATTTTCTTAACTAGTCAAGAGTTTAATCAATGTCATGGGTACTCATGGGAATATCATGTATATGAATTTCATCAGTTCTGGATGTTGCAATGAAAAACAAAGCACCATTGAAAGCACCTATGTATTCTTCTATTGTTTTCTCACATTAGTGAAGCCAAATCATTTTGGGAGTATTTTTTTTCATTCTTTCTAGTTATTATGTATTTCTGTAGAATATGAACACAAAATAATTCAGCAATCTCACTAAGTCTTACCTTCTTTAAGCAGTTAGTCATTCCCTTTTTTGTTACTATTATTGCTACTATTAATACATAAAGTTATTATTCAATTTAAAATGTTACAACAATGTGCTTTCAACTGTTATCATCATCATTTAACAGACTTTCTTTTAAACTGAGACCAAAAGATGCTAAATAATGTGTAAGCTTATTCATTAGAAAGTTTCAAATGCAGTTAAGACACAGACTCTTAGATCCTCACTCCTGAATCCTGGGTTTTTCTTGTTCCAAAAAACTCCTTTAAAGACTTCTTTTAAAATTTTTAAGCAATTTTTATAAGCCTTAAGTCTTAGGAATTATCTCCCTATTACCAGTCATTGATGGTTATGCCTTTTATATTTGTTGAATAGGATGTTTACTTTTTTTATCAGGATGCTCACTACACATGTATATCCTATATAGTTAAATGATTTAAATATTTCCTGTCATGGACTTCATATCCCTAGAATTTTCTAAGATTAAAATTAATGAAGGATATCACAAAGGAAATTCTATATATATAATTATCTACATTGAAAGTATACATTTTCTTTTATTAGCAATATGTAAAAGACAAGCAAAAATTTAAAAAAAACATTCAATATTTGCATTTAAAATGTTTGCATTAAAATGTCAGGAAATGTAATGATATTCATAATAGATAAATAGCTCATATAAGTTAATTTAAAAAAACAAAGACCCAGAGGATAAGTGGGCAAAAGAATGAACAGATGTCTTTAAAACAGGACATCAGCTTGTGAAAAAAATATTTACTCAACATAGTAGGAACTTCTGGTTCCTGCCCATATGGCAACTTAACATGGGGCTTCTGGCTTCCTCTGTAAAATTAAACCTGGAATAACTATAGAAGTGGGAGGGAAAATATATTACAGAAACAAATTTTCCACTGGGATGCTAAAGCTGATTTAAATGACATGTTGAGGGGAGGGCTTTGCCTGAAGCTTGGGACAGAGAACAGCTAGAGGAGCAGTGAGAGGATCTGTTAAAGTAAAGCTTTGTAAATACTCCTCTGGCCTCTCCTCTGTGTGTGGGACAATCATTTCCTAGGCCTTCACCATAAAAACCAGTGCCAACCATTCATATTGCCAGTGCAGATGTTCCAAGGCATTATCAGGAGACTGCCAAAGCCCTGCTGAGATATGTGATCTATATAAACAAGTGTCCATGAAACAGCTGCCCCCAGACATTCACATTTACCCACCCTGCAATCCAATCACCCAGGACTAGTGAGTTACAACCTAGAGAAACAGTGTCCTAATGCTGTTTCTCTCTAAGCCTTTACAGGAGGCAGAACAGAGATGATATATGCAGTGCCTTGGAGGGAAATGAGCGTAATCAAGACTGTGTTTGTCTCCTCCACCCTTCTTAAATTCAACAGATTAACAGGCCATGTGCAGTGGCTCATGCCTATAATCCCAGCACTTTGGGAGGCCAAGGCCAGTGAATCACGAGGTCAAGAGATGGAGGCCATCCTGGCCAACATGGTGAAACCCTGTCTCTACTAAAAATACAAAAATTAGCCAGCCGTGGTGGTGTGCACCTGTAGTCCCAGCTACTCAGGAGGCTGAAGCAGGGGAATTGCTTGAACCTGGAAGGCTGAGGTTTCAGTGAGCCGTGGGTGCACCACTGCACTCTGGCCTGGTGACACAGCAAGACTCTGTCTCAAAAAACAAAACAAAACAAAACAAACAAACAAACAAAATAGATTAGCAAACACTGGAAGGTGGCCTTCAACCTGCCCTCATCTCACATTACTAAACAAACGAGCTCATGTGCCAGGTGATAATAAGTTCACAGGTCATAATAAGATGTATAAGTATCTCCATGAAAATTCTTAAAATAACTGGATAAAATATGTTTTCTTAGTGCATTCAGGTTGCTACAACAAAATATTATAGATTTGGTGGCTTATAAACAACAGGAATTTATTTCTCATAGTTCTGGAGTCTGGAAAGTTCAAGATCAAGGTACCAGCAGATTCAGTGTCCAATGAGGTCCGACTTTCTCATCGACAGCCTTCTTCCCACTCTCATCTCAGCAGGTGGAAGGGATGAGGCGTCTTTTTTAGGCCTCTTTTATAAGGGCACTAATCTCATTCATGATGGCTTCACCCCTATGAACTAATCACCTACCAAAGGCCACACCTACCAATGCCATCACCTTGAGAGTGAGGATTTCAACATATGAATTTGGGAGGGACATAAACATTTAGACACACTCAGAATTCGAAATAAATATTTACAAAGTTCTATGTGGCAATACATACAAGGGTATCCTTCACACAATTTATTTATGATTGGTGGAAAATGGAAGGCACCCTGAAAATCTATCATAGGAAAAAAACAATGGCCAAAATATGGCACAGCCTTGAGAATTTAGACCATAGCATATGCCAACTGAATTTATCTGAAAAATTAAATCTTAAAATAAGCCTTAAAATGTACTAGGGAGCTAAAGAAAAAGCCATCTAAATTTCAATAGAAGACTTCAGATTGAAAAGGCTCATAGGGTGCTATGCTTTTAAAGTTAAGATCAAAGAGCAAGAAAATAGAACAGATAAATAACTCTCAAATTGATTGTGACTGACCTGGAGAATAATTGGGAAAGTAATAATGATCTTTCAAAAAACCCCAATAGATAAAACACATGACAGAGATGAATAGGCAATTAAAAATGCACACATGTACACACAAAGTTAGCAAGCATATTATAAGATCCTAAAAATCATTGATATTTCAAAAATGCAAATTAAATCACTGAGACAATACATGTTTCAGCATGGAAAATTAGAACACCAAGTGTTGATGAGAATACGGTGATATAGAAAGACTATTGCACTGCCTACAGATAGAAATCCTATGGCACTATTTAGTAAAATTATTACTTACACATGCTCAGAATTCCAAATAAATGTTTACAAAGGTATATGTGGAAATGGGTAGACAACATTTATTTATGATTGGTAGAAAATGGAAGGCACCCTGGAAATCCATCACAGGAAAAAAGTAATGGCCAAAATATGGCACACCATGGAGAATTTTGCAGTAGAGCAAAAGATTCGCTATACAAATAACATGGACAGATTTTATAGCAACATTTAGTGGGGAAAAATGGGAAATAGAATGAGATGCATAACAATATTATTAACATAAATTATAATAAATGTTCATAAAATAATACACATTTTAGAAAACATTTGAGTCAGAAGCTATCCATGATACATAATAAAATGGTTACATTTACTAGTAAGAAAATGGGATTGAAGTATGGAAATACATGGAAATAGACACATTGGTAGATAGAGATATATGATGGATGGATGGATGGATATATGAAGACAGGTAACATAGATAGATGAATGGTGGGTAGATGGATGGATAAATAGCAGAGTCTTACGTATATACATAATAAGTAGGTTTCATGATCCAAGAAGTAAAATTAACTTAAAAACTTGCTTTTGCATTTCAAAAGGAAAATGTCCCCACTTTCACTAATAAGAAAGGCAAAGTAAAATAAGGTTTCATTTTCTTCTTCTCCTTTTTAATTTGTTAAGGATAATAGCAATTTGACAGGAGAATAAAACAACTTTACTTATAAATACTCCTGGTAAAAGCATAAATTGGTGTAACCTTTTTAAAAAGATGACAATATGAAACAACAGCATTAGAAATGATTATGCTCTATGATACGGTAATTCATAAAATCTATCCTACAAATTATCAAAAATTAAGAAAGATTTAGGCACAAAGATGCTATTTCTGAAATATTTATATAATTGAAAGCTTTATAGTAATCTAAATATCTAATACAGTTTTAAAGTTTGATATGATTTTCCCCTAAATGGTACTATGGCAGTAAGGAGAAATGGCTGCTTCCACTTCTAGATAAGAAATACAAAAGAATAGGAATATTTTTCTTTGTGTCAGAAAGCAAAACAAACATCCAGTATAAGTGGCATCATGTCAACGGGACACAGAAACCAAGCTAAAGGGACTCCCACTAAACAAAGATGGCAGTTGAATAATCAAAAAACTCTAGTATAAAAACTCTTTCATTTATAATGAAATTAGAAAAGCAAAACACCTCTTTGGTCACCATTAGAGATTGTTTGGGCACCAACTCATCATCATAAAAAGTAACAAATAAAGGGAAAGAATCAGACCTTACTCATCTGCACAATCTATCTTTGGGGGTGACAAAATTGTTAATTAGGGAAAGTTCTTTGGGGATAATAGATGCAGCAGGGAGATAAAAATTAGGAAATTAGCATTTTCAACCCCTAATGAAGTCATAGATCTAGTCAATATTCATCAATAGATGTTAAAATGATGAAAGCATGAGGGGGACTTGTATGGAGCTGATAACATCTGATCTATCTTAAGATTACTAAATGTGGGTAACCAGGCAGTATGGGCCTTTTTGTGCAATATAAGAAGTAACCAGCACAAACTATGACATTCTTGACAAAAAGAAATGGAAACTGACCCCAACCCAGGCTCTAGATATAACTAAATGTGTACAGAAAATATAGGGGGGACGGGAAGAAATATAACAAACCGTGAAGAATCAATTAGCCACATTAAGAATGTGGGACACACTAGAGGACAAACAGGACAAACAACAAGGTTCCTTTTCAAGTAAATGACATAAGAAGTGGGGGCTGGGAGCTTGTTGGAAACTAACTGAGGTTTAACAACTATGGCAACTAAATGCAGCATTTGGCTTCTATTTAAAAAAGCCAACTATAAAAAAGATATTTATGAGGCTGGGCGCAGTGGCTCACGCCTATAATCCTAGCACTTTGGGAGGCCAAGGTGGGTGGATCACCTGAACCCAGGAGGCGGAGGTTGCAGTGAGCTGAGATCACACCACTGCACTCCAACCTTAGTGACAGAGCCAGACTTTGTCTCAATTTAAAAAAAAAAAAAAAAAAAAAAAAAGATGTTTATGGAGACTATGGGGATATTTAAATATACATTAAGTATTGGATGAATTAAGAAATTAACTTTTTAAGATGTGCTAATGGCATTTTAGCTATACAAAAGAAAAAGTTTTATCAGATGTACATTTGGAAGTATTTACAAGTAAAATGATGTCTGATGTTTAACATATCTGAGATTTAAAAGAAAATACTTGACTTCTTAAGAATATATGTATATCATTGGGATCAATGAAACAAGACTGGTTAAATGTGCCTAAATGCAGAAATTTGTTGATGAGTATTTGATGGGAATTTGTTATACTGTTTTCTCTATTTCTATATGTGTTTGATAATGTCCTTTAAAATAAAAAATAATAAAATTTAAAAGTGATGCATTAATTTGATAGCCTCATATGCTATGCTATCCAAAATGGCATTTTATCAACTTTCTAATAATATCATGAAATGTGTTTTTTATGGTATGGCAAAAAAAAAAAGGGCAGAAAACAAAATATTAGTATGTTCTCATGTGTATAACAAATTTACATTATAACAAAAGGCCTAAAAAGAAATCTGAAAAATATTCTGCCTTGGATTAGATGGATAATTTATAATGTGTTTTACTTACTATATATGCAGGACAGTTCTTCAGGTAGGCTTGGGCTGACCTAGTTTTTCTCCCTTTCTTGCTTGTAGCTCTCAAGAATAACTGTAGTATGTGCTGGGAACGCAATATCCTCAGATAAGGAGAAGCTGCCTGAAACAGCTCAAGCCTTGTTCCTGCCCTTCCAACATCCTGAGTTGGAAAGGAACTGCTCAGGATAGCCTGGGCTTTGCTTCTCTCTTTCCTGGATGCAGGATGTCTGTCAAAACTTTGCCCAATGAATCACATGGTTCCCGAGGCAGGTAATCCACAGCAGGCTCACTTTCAGGGTCCCTCAGCTGTGCTGCAAGTGGAGCACACGCACTCAAGACTTCATCCACCATGGGCAGGTTTTTTGCACTGGGACACCAGCTCCCAATGGCTCCTAGACTTCTTTTGTCCTTTGCAGCCTATCTGTAAGTAGCAAGCCAGCTTCATGTAACTTGTTGCATATGAGTATGTTCAATCTCAGCCAGCTCGAACAAGTTGGTAATCAGAGCACAGTGAACCTGTTCTACACTATACTTTTCTGTAGTTTCCAAATTTAGAAATTTATCATCAAAAAATACTTTTAAGGATATATCCTTTCCTCTTTTTTTTCTCATTTGGTTGGATGAAGATTGCCCAATCAGGATTTTATTTTTAGAATTTCCTATACTTTAAGGGTCATATACATTCAGGTGTCACTTAAGGACAGAGACACTTTTTGAGAAATACATCCTTTGGCAATTTTGTCATTGTGCAAACATCATAGAGTGTACACAAACATAGATGGTATAGCCTACTACACACCTACTCTTGATGGTATAACCTATTCCTTCTAAGCCACAAACCGGTACTGTATGTTACGGTACTGAATACTGCAGGCATTTATAACACAATGGTAAGTATTTGTGTATCTAAACATAACTAAATAGAAAAGATACAGTAAAGTACAGTATTATAATCTTATGGAACCACCATTGTATATGTGTTCTGTCATTAACCAAAATGTCATTATGCAGGGCATGACTGTACTTTTCAAAAAATCCTCATCATGACAACGTATCTATGTTTCTCAAGATTTTCTAAAGTCTGAGCTTTAAGTCAAAACATCTTTACAAATCCTTTACTAAGTGCACTGATCTTCAAAATTGCCTATTCGTTTCCTCCACAGACGTCTATCACTTCGCATAGCAAGCAGTTTTCCACAGTAACTGACTGATTGAGGTGCAGCATCACAATGTCTACACGCTAATACCTGAGACCCCAAAATTGCAATAATTTGGTTTTGGTCAAAAGTCATCTATTGAGTCCCAGCTAAATAATTAATATACACTAATGATTAAAATGTTATGTGAAAATTAGCTGGGCGTGGTGGCTCACACCTGTAATCCCAGCACTTTGGGATGCCAAGGCAGGTGGATCACTTGAGGTCAGGAGTTTGAGACCAGCCTGGCTAACATGGTGAAACCCCGTCTCTACTAAAAGCACAAAGCCAAGTGTGGTGGCACATGCCTGTAATCCCAGCTACTGGGGAGGCTGAGGCATGAGAATCGTTTGAATCCAGGAGACAGAGGTTGCACTGTGCCAAGATCATGCCACTGCACTCCAGCCTGGGTGATAGAGTAAGACTCTATCTCAAAAAAAAATAAATAAAAATAAATAACATGTTATGTAAAAATAATAAACACGATATCTGATAGAAGTCTATTCCTAATCAACTCTTCTTCATCAATAAGTTATGTAAGTTAGAATTTAAAACATATCTCAGGAATGATTGTACCAATGTATTTATTCCTTCCAGCAAAGTTGAAATTGCTAAATAACTTATCCCAAGGTAAGACTCTCCTCAACTTGTGGTCTCTCTACTCTTTGAAGAATAGCAATAACATCCATCTTCTTTTTCTTCCTGAACTAAAAATCTCACTTGATATGTCAAGTTTGGTGCCATGAATTCTCCTGAATGGAGGATATTAGGAAATATTATGAGAAAGTCTTTTAGACTTCATCACCCTACTGTAAGGCACCATCATTTCTCACATGCACAATTTAAAATAGTCTCCTAACCCATCATCTGGCATTTCTTCTTGCCTAATCCACTCTCCAGGGTAAAGATACAATAAAATATAAAGGAAGTCTTACCGTGTAACCCTCCTTAAACTCCATTTCCATACTCCTGCATTTAGGATAAAGTCCAACGTTTCAAGTATGACCTATCAGGCCGTGCTGGACCTGGGCCTGATTGCCTATTTCTGTTTGATTTCTTGTCACTCTTACTTTTGCACTGTATACTGCCTGATGGTTTTAGCTTTTCCCAAATGCCAAGCACCATTCCCTAGGTTTGGAAAACTATTCCCTATGCCTTCATCTCTAACAACTTGTCGTCTGCCTAACTTACATTCCAGGTTTAAGATTAAATATCACTTCTTCAGAGGCCTCAGGAAAGTTTTCCACAGTCCTCCTTGTTTCTTGTTGTGTGGTCTCATAGCTGCATCTTTCTCTTGATAAGTGGATTTTTAAACTATGCTTAAGTAATGGGTAAGTACATCTTCAGTTCTGTTCCCTCCTGCACACTATAAATGTAAATTCCTGAACTTGTTTAATTCTAGATCCCCAGTGTCTAACACAGTTTCTAATGATGGTCAATCAAAATGCTTCTTCTATCCTTGCTTATTTTCCTCCAAAGTAAATTTCTTTGTGGATGAAATATGCAGTCTTTGTGGTAGGAATAACTATGAAGGCACTCAAAGGTCTAAGTTTATTAGGGAGAGATTTCAGGCAAAGACATTAAGAGGGTAGATGTCACCTGGGAAGATATCATGCGCTATACCTTTCACCCTACACTTAGATGCTGCTGAGTGAAATTTTGCAAACTCGCACTTTCGCAGCATCTCCGCAGACTGATACCTGTGTGTATGTGTGTCCCCTTCTGCCCTCCTTTATTGTCAAAGGAAACTCTCAGCTAGCCAGGGAATTCTTCTCATACACAATCATTTTAATGACTCCATATCCAGTTCGGACATGTTTTAGAAACATCATTGGAGGGTAGGTTGTAGTGGGTATGTGAAAATGTATAGTAGGAAATAATTTATATTAGTCAAAACATACATGTTATATCTGTAATATAAATTTGCCATTCAAAACTGCCCAACACTAGAAAGAAAAGCATTAGGTAAGATGTGAAGTGTAAGTTGATGACTATGATAAACACTTTATTTAATAATAAGTTTTAAAAAATGAGCTTGGGAGAGAAGGAGAGAGAGAGGTGCCCAGAATACTGAGAAATAATAAGATGGGTCCTTAAGTCAGAGAGTGGGGAAAGAAACAGGATTCTTGATCTGGAATTGCTTTGAACAGCTGGGTCTAAAAATTTTAGCCCCTGGGTTTTGTTTCATATGTCAAATGATGCACTGTGGGAGGTATAAAAACCGTTAGCAAGCCAACACAAAAGGAAATCATTTTGTGAGACACTTTTACCTTGAAAAATTGACTCTTCACCTCTTAGAATTGTTCTATAATTTTTATGACTTTTCAATTCCTTGAGCCAAGGATTTAAGCATACACATGCGTGCACGTACACACACACACACACACACATCTTGCACTCTCTTCATCTCCATTTTTACTATCTTTCTCTATAAAAAGAAGAATGAGAGTAGGGAATATTGCAGGGTTTAAGAATATTTTAAAGAAGGCTTTATCTTAGTTCTTCAGTAGTACGGGGTCAAAGTATCTTTTACACAGGGAATTGTTTGTTCTAATCGGGATAATGGACTTTGAAGCTCAAATCCAGCTCAGGGAGACATAGAATATCTTTAAGGCAAAAAAGATCACATCACCTTGCATATAAGTAGGTAGCTTGATATAGTTTGGAATGTTTGGTTTTGTTCGTTTTTGCCTGCGGTTTAGTTTTATTTGGTGTGACATTATGTAACGCAGTTTGGTTTGTTTTTAATAAGAGAAGTTTTATACTTTATCTTGGGAATGGCCAATTAAGAAGTTAACATATTTATGCACATTTAAGGGGAACACACCCTCTGTTCTGAATTGGGGCATGTTTGAAGGATACTACTACCATAGCTCTTGTACTCAGAAATTGTTGATAAGGCAAAATAAGGTCAATGTGTGGGACCCAGGGATCTTTTAGAATAGAGAGTATTTAGATCTTAATGCCCACTCACTAAAACTTGAAACCAGGGAAAATTGTTAGAGTATATTAGATAACCCTGACCACAGTCTGGTAGCAGATTATGGTTATGAGAACCCTAAAATAATCAGACCATTTCAGCTGGTGATGATAATTTCATACTGAGTTCAGGGGAAGAACTGATTTCTGAAGAATGTATGTCCAGTGCTAGAAGACTCTCAGGGCCCAGCCTGCCTGGTAGAGCAATTGAGGACAATGAGAAACAATCACTGGGCAAAAAGGGTAAACTATAGAGCTGGGGTCCTGGGAGGCCTAGTATACAGACGCTTTGGCAGCACTTAGCACTTGGTAGTGTGATGAGGTTGGAGCGGAGGAGTGAATTTCAAGTTTCCCCCATGGAAGATGAAGCACATTTGCCTGCAGAATTGAGCCCAGGTTCCAATGGAGACGTGTCCATAGGACTGTATAGACTAAATGTATGATTTGTCTGTTCTCACACTGCTATGAAGAAATACCTAAGACTGGATTATTTTTAAAGAAATGAGATTTAATTGACTCACAGTTCTGCATGGCTGGGAAGGCCTCAGGAAACTTACAATCATGATGGAAGGCACCTGTTCCCAGGGTGGCAGGTGAGAGAATGAGTGCCAAGCAAAGGGGGAAGCCCCTTATGAAACCATCAGATCTCATGATAACTCACTCACTATCATGAGAACAGTATGGAGGAACCACCCCATGATTCAATAACCTCCACCTGGTCCTGCCCTTGACACGAGGGGATTATAACAATTCAAGGTGAGATTTGGGTGGGGACACAGAGCCAAACCATATCAATAAGCATCAACAGTGACACCATGATTGATTTCCTAGGTCCTTAGATAGTTTGACAAAGGAGAGTGTGCTCATGATGGAAATGCTGGACCTCCTGGCCAGTACGAAGGTGGAGTTCAAAGGAACTATTTAAAACTATAAAAGAAATGACCAAATTTTTCCTATAACTTTGAGAAGCAAACAGTGCTTGTCATAAATGTAATGTAGACTATTAAGGAGTCTTCAATATTATTCCTGGGACATTACTGAGCCTCTCTTTCATGATAATAATGGCTTTGAAAACTATTGGGACATGAACTCTGTATGTAATAGCATAATTTATGGGATGATACATGATATGGTTTGGATTTGTGTCCCTGCCCAAATCTCATGTCAAATTGTAATCCCCTGTGTTGGAGAAGGGGCCCGGTGGGAAGTGATGGTATCATGAGGGCGGATTTCCCTCTTGCTGTTCTTGTGATAGTGAGTGAGTTCTCAGGAGACCTGGTTGTTTAAAAGTGTGTAGCACCTCCCCCGATCTCTCTTCCTCCTCCCGTCATGTAAGAAGTGCCTTGCTTCCCCTTCACCTTCTGCCATGACTGTATGTTTCGTGAGGCTTCCGCAGCCATGCTTTCTGTGGAGCCCACGGAACCATGAGCCAATTAAACCTCTTTACTTGATAAATTACCCAGACCCAAGTAGTTCTTTATAGCAATGTGAGAACAGACTAATACAACATACCAGTGAATTCAAATGAGTTGATATTGGGAAAGACTTGACACTTGCCAGACACACAGTCCTGTAAAAGTATTTGCTATTAGATGCTACATTTATTTTCTCATACCATCATGGGTTGAAAACTGTCCACAATGCTCAATTAAGTCACTGATGTGTTTTAAAATAGAAAGACATAAAACAAAATAGAGAGTCATAGAAACCCATCAGTTGTGCTCTGCTTTGCATGTACTGGAGCATATCTTTATCATTAACATGGGTGGAATTGAGTGTGCCATGTAACCTGATAAATCAGTACCACTCAATAAATTTCCATTCCATTATTTCTTAACAGGCACTGAAATAAACACAAAATATTTCCAAATGATTACCTAGGCTTTACCTTATCCTACCTAGGATTACCTTATGTTTTTTGAATACACCAAAAATGTGTATGAGGAAAGAGAAATGAGTTCCTTCCAAATTTTAATTAACTTACACCAGAAAGGTAAAATCATCTCTGGACTATTGTACATTATGAACTATCTGTGAGTATCCTAAATGGATGTAATAACCCTGGTACTAGATGAAAGATTTCATAATTTGCTGAAGTCCTAAAATGCTATATACAGATTTAGTTTTTAAATATATTTCAATTCACAGAAGATAATTATTTTTTAACATGTTCTGAATGCCTGATAATCCATGGTTCTAAATAAGGACAGGTCAAGTTATTTTTTTTAATGTGACTTCAGTCTAAGAAAATTAAATATTCCTGGTATATTAAAAATTCCTATAGCTACACATGCAGGAAGAAATGTTCAGTAATCAATTTAAAATATTTCCATTTTTATTAAATTTATTATCATAGCTTGTATTCTATATGAATTTCTGAAGATGTTTCTACAAGTTAGCTCCACACTATATTAAATGGATGATACTGAAATAATAATTGATAAAATATATGTAAGGAAAAAGACAATTTTCCATTAACATAAATTTATCTTCCTCCACAGAAAATATGAATTCCTATGAAGGATAATAATGTCATCACAACACAATACATAATTGTTACTTTTCTATAAACTGAGGTGCAGTAGGTGCTCCCTTTCCTGCATAAACTTCTATAGAGTTCCTTAAAGGGTTTCTTGCCTCTATTTACATTTCTTTTCAAACCTCATGGCAACACAGGTGAAATTTCTAAAATGATAATCTGATAATGTCTCTTCCCTGCTTCTAATACTTCACTGGATTCCAATCCCCTAGAGAACAAATTCCAAATTTTTTAGCATCACAGGAAAAGCCCATCATGATATAGATGGATGGACTAACTTTCCAATCTTATCTCCTGCTATGCCTTTCTCACACTTTACGCTCCAGCAATTCTGAACAGCTTACAGCATCTCAAGCACACCATACTGTTTACATGTCAATGCCACTGGGCATCTCCCGTTATTTGCACATGATGTTGCCTGTATTGGAATGCCCACCTTCTTGTGCTCCTGCCTCAAACTACCTACACTTCTTGCAAGTGGAGCCTGTGTCTGATTTATATTTATCCCAAGACCTAGCACAGGGGAACACAGATGGTGCTCCATCAATATCTGCTTGATTGATTAGATTCAAGGGGAACTTCAAAGTATTTTCTTGCTTTTCTTCCTTTCAAAGTTAAAATATAAACCCTGAGATCTCTGCAGGCCCCATTGTTCTGTATGAAAAGGCCTTTATCAGTACCGAGGCATTTAACAAAGAAGCTCTTTCTGAAAATATTAAACCATCTTCATTTATTTAAATTTCCAGAAACCTGCAGTAGTAAGCAAACCTAACAGCAGTGCTTAAGCAAATGCACAACCTATTTCCATTTCTGAACTTTCATAATTTCTAAGGGCAGATGCAAGAAGAAAAAGAAAAATGCCTCCTCAGATAAAGGTTGTGAGCATGCTTTAAATCACTTCGAAACTCTGCTCTATGGGGCACAAAAATCATATTGAAACAAAATATTTTTACCAAAAATGGAAATTCTAAGATATTATACACTTCAAAATGACAATATAATGGTAAATTATGACCTAACAATCTCAGAGGAGCAACATTATGTCTGAAGAAATACACATCAAATCGATGCTAAGTAGCGAGCCTTTTTCATGGAAAATTAACAAGGTAATCACCCAGGCTCCTGGGAGCTGAATCACTTGCTCTCTGATGGAGTACCAGTCCTGAAGAACAGCATTGCATAATCTTAGACTGTCCCAGGGCAACCACGAGTTGATTTGTCATGATTTAAAAAGTAATGATGGTGCCAGGTACAGTGGCTAACGCCTGTGGTCCCAGCACTTTAGAGGCTGAAGCAGGAGAGTTGCTTGAGGCCAGGAGTTCAAGACCAGTTTGGACAATGTAGTGAGACCCTGTCTCTACAAAAAATAAAAATAAACTAGCTTGGTGTGGTAGTACACACCTGTAGCCTCAGCTACTTGGGAGGCTGAGGTGGGAGGATCACTTGAGCCCAAGAGGTTAAGCCTGCAGTGAGTTAAGATTGCAACATTGTACTCCAGCCTGGGCAATAGAGTGAGACCCTGTCTCCCCACCCCCCAAAAATAGTAATGATGGGGTCATCAATAATCATTTAGTATGTGTTTTTTGACCTCTCTCTATATATAGATATACTCTGAAGATGGCAGGAATCCTTGTATCCAAGTGATATAAAACCTAATCCTTGCCTTCAATGAGTTTATAGTCTGGAAAGGGAAATGAGGCTTAAGCAGAAAAAGCATAAATGACACAAAAATGATGTGATTCTCAAACAAAATGCAAGGCAAAAAAAGATTGTTTCTGACTTACTCATGCAACTAATATTGATTGAATTTGATTGAATACCTAATACTTTACCTCAAAGTGATACAGATAATAGAAACAATGAGAATGCAAAGAAAGGGGATCTGTACAGGTTAGACTGTTGTCAGAAAATGTAAAGGAAAGACTTGTCCTATATATTCAGATGCCAATAATCTATAGATTTGTGGAGAAGAGGAGGAATGGCCCAGAGGTGGGAAAACAGGTGTGAATCAAAACATATTATGAAGTTACATTTCTCATTTTTATTCAAATTCCAACATGACTTGTGGTTTGATGTGTTTTAAGTCCTGGCTCTTTGCCTATATGTACAACAGCACTCTCCTTGCCTTCATGCTTAAGACTAATTCCTTGAGATTACTGTCTTCTCTCTATGATTCTACTTACTCTTCTGACTCTTAAACAAGTAACAGGAAAGGGATGGATGAAACCTGTCCTGAATAAGAGAAAATAACAGTCTATAAAATGGTTTGTCCTCAGAGCGTGTGAAGATACAGGGACACACAAAGAATCTGGTTTGAATGTTTACTTGCTGAAAAGTTTTAAATTCCCCATGGCCAAATGGCTCATCTAATAAACATATTCAACACTTCAATAAATAGCATATATTTCTACTTGCTTCTTAGTGACTTTTTTCATCAGACTTACTCAAAGCTCTTCAAAGACCCTGAGCTGGATTTTTTCACAGTTCTAAGTCACTGCCTGAAGGTAATTTGAGCAGTTAAAGAGGTGCATTAATTCTTTCCGGCCACAAGTGGCCCATTTACTGAATATATAGTGAAAAACCAAGAGGGAAACAGTATTCCCCTGAGCTCTAGAGATGGGTGAGAGCCTTTCCCTGGGCTTGTCTGGAGCATCAGGCTGTCTGCAACATGTTAATTAGCACAGAGGGAGTAGAATTTTGATTTTAGTTTTACTGAACCCAAGCAGAATGTTCACCAGTGACACTCCTATTATGAATTGAATTATTTCTTCACACTGTAAACATTATATAAAAGCAAGTGCCAGCTATTGCTATAACTTTAGCCACCAATCAAAAATAACAAAAATGGTGAATCAACATGACTCCATTGATAAATTGTACCCAAAGTTTAGAGATATCAATTTCTACTAATTGTTTTGTTCCTACCCTTCGATTTTATTTCTCCTTACTTAGATATAAGGCAGTTTGCAAAGATGCTTACTTACTCCAGAGGTATCCTACAGATATTTCTAGCGTTTGAGCCTTACTCAAATCTGATCTTGAAAGCACCTTGGGGGTATCATTTAAGTTTGGTAAAACAAATCTAGGCAGGTATCCACTAAGACAATAAAAAAAGTAAGATTCTCTTCTCTGGCTGGATTTGTGCATAACTCCTGATAAAGTCAGGGCAGATTTGCATCAAAAGGAAGAGAAGCATGTCCTTCAACGAGCTTCTGGGGCAGGAAAAGTATTAAATTTGTAGTTCATTTTAGCCCTCTACTCTTGTCATATCTGTTTTACAATCCCTATTAGGAAAGAACTGTTAAGAATTTTTTCAGCTATATGGTCCAAATGTTTATAAGCATTAATGAAACTGCTTAACTAGGAACAATAAAGAAAGAATGTGAGGGAAATGACAATTTTGCATCTATGTTTTGTAGTTTGTAATTCCATAAGATTTGATTATCAAAAATCATTTTAAGCTTTCTAGAATTAAGTTGTCTCATTTTTGGAAAATGTAATCTTATCAAAATAACTGGTGACAAGACTCATTATTTTCCATAAAGGTGTTTAAATGCATCTGCAAATTTTAGGCTTATTGAGTGTATCAGTTCAGGTGAAATGAAGAAAACATTATTTAATCCAAATATCTCAATAAAGGAAACAATATGGGTAACTATTTAAAGACATATTGGAAGAACTGAATACATATAAAGTTAAAGCAAACAGAAAATTAACACAGCAGGATGTTGCTACCCTTTTTAGGGCAGGTGAACAAATGGAGCAGATGATGTTATCAAAGGCAAAGAGTGGAGGTTTCACATATGAGCTGGAACCAGGGATTAGGGACTATGGTGACAGGGGCTTTATGACTGAATCTAGAACCACAGAAGAGATGTAGCCACTGTCCTAAACACCACTGGAAGCACCATCAGCTTCTCCCCAACTTCTGCTTGCCAGTATTCTGGCAGTGCCTCCCACTGGCCAAAATATATAGTAAGCCAGTGGGAAGGGAGCCTGGGAAATCACAGGGAGGGGGAGGAAAGGGGGACTAGATCTGAGAGCAAAGGGGCAAATGTCTACACAGCTTATCATGTTTGCTCTTCAGCATCAGTCTCTACAATCTACTATATTTAAGTCTCATAGAGCAAAAACTGCTTGTATCTGCCTGTCATGATGGAACCATCCTTCATACAAACTAAGCCAGATATCCTCACCTTCACCTTCAAACAGAAGATGCCCCATTAATGTTAATTTCTCATCTAGCTCTGTCAAAATCCTACCAGAGTATTCTGTAACCTAAAAACTAAATTGTAGGCTGGGCGCGGTGGCTCACACCTATAATCCCAGCACTTTGGGAGGCCGAGGTGGGCAGATCACTTGAGGTCAGGAGTTTGAGACCAGCCTGGCCAACGTGATGAAACCCTGTCTCTACTAAAAAAAAAAAACAAAAAAAAAAAAAACCCAAATTAAAGATAACAATCCTTACGTGAAATAGTAGTAGTAGAAGAAGGGATGGAGGAAAGAAAAATGAGTGGTTAATATTGTGGCACATATACACCATGGAATACTATGCAGCCATAAAAAATGATGAGTTCATATCCTTTGTAGGGACATGGATGAAATTGGAAACCATCATTCTCAGTAAACTATCGCAAGAACAAAAAACCAAACACCGCATATTCTCACTCATAGGTGGGAATTGAACAATGAGATCACATGGACACAGGAAGGGGAATATCACACTCTGGGGACTGTGGTGGGGTCGGGGGAGGGGGGAGGGATAGCATTGGGAGATATACCTAATGCTAGATGACACATTAGTGGGTGCAGCGCACCAGCATGGCACATGTATACATATGTAACTAACCTGCACAATGTGCACATGTACCCTAAAACTGAGAGTATAATAAAAAAAAAAAAAAAAGAAAAAAAAAATAAAGAAAATGTGGTATAAATACACAATCAAATACTAAAAAAAAAAAAAAAAAATATTGTTAACATTCTTCAGCGAAAGACCACCAGGTGAATAAGATGAACAAGTCAGGCTTGTACTGCTGCAGAAGGCGAGCACACATACCACAGAGAACACTTATCTGGGCATCTCAGCAAGAGGGTATTAGAAAGAACCTATTTTAGGAGAGGGTCTGGGCTTCAGTTGGGTGATTTGGATAGGACATGACAGAACAGGAGTTCACCAGAAATGAAATCCTGTCAGAAAGCAGGGGTAATTCTAAGATTGAGTATTTTAGTAAATCTTGTCTGCACAGAGAGCAGACTAGAGTGAGGACAAATCTGTAATTAAAGCAGCAGTCACTCATCCTATCTGGAAGAGGGAGATACTCGGTTTTTTGTGGCTTACTCAGTTACCCTGCTTTTGTCTCGTTTTAACATGGCCTCAGAGTGACCTTGTCTGATGGTGATGTTTCATGAGTTCATTCATGTCCAGCAGGAGAATAACATGGCCCAGCTGTGAGCATTAAACCAGTTACCAGATGTCAGGGGTTGCTTTTATTCTTTCTCAATATATACAAACCTTATATTCATAATATATACCTCAAATAACATATCTTTTCTGCTCTACCTTCTAGTAACTGATTATGGTGACAGTTACCACTTAAACACATTCTTTTCCCACCATCCATTTCACATCTGTAGCCAGCACCTTGACAGTAGAGATTCTCTACCTGGTGGAGTGATCGACACATTCTTCTTTAAAGAGGCTAAGCCTCTACTAGTCCAGCCCTTATTGGATTGTTCTAATCTCCCATTGACATTTGCTCTTCCATATAGAAGTACTAAGTGGATCCTCTGGGTCCCAGACGTCTTCAGATGCAAGAACAATCCAACTTTTCCTTGTCAATTGGAATCAGTTTTCCCAGCCAGTTTAGCAACCTCCTGTCTGTCAGTTTAGTGGAATAATAAGCCCAAAATAGCCAGGTGGTAATCTGAATTCTAATTCAATCCAATAATCTATCTTTATGCCACTCTACATCTAACCCCAAAGGAAGCATTCTTCTCTGATAACAAAGACATTTCAAATATCTAAAACAAAGTTTGTGGGAATTAGGGCAAAAAGTCACCACAGACAGAAGTTGTGGGAAAGGGAAAGGTCATCAAATATAATAGAGGAACTGCTCCTACTACTTTCTACTACTACCTCTACCCCTTGGATTTAGCTATGGGGGAAAGAGAACTATACACTTGCTGCCCATTCAAAGCATATACAGTATCCTGTAATACAGCATCACCAACTTATTGTCCTCATGTGTGAATAATATTGAGTTTTTAGCAGGCCATTCCACATGCCTATGAGGCCAACTTTTTCTGGGTGATAAGGTATACATATGACTAATAGATTCTGTTGCCTATGGGCTCACTTCTACTGTGAAATGATTTCCTTTGCCAGAAACACTATTGTGTGAGATAACTTTAGGTTGAATGAAGTCATTCCAGGAGTCTATCAATTGTGCATTGTCAGAAGCATTTTTCAGAGGGAAGCTGGGTGAAGGGTATGCAGAACTCTGTATTATTTTTGCAGATTTTTGTAAGTTTAAAATTCTTTCAAAATTAAAAGTTTAAAAAAGGGAGAAGTCATACAGGATAAAAGAATTTGCTTCTGCTGACAAGAAGATTCAAGAGGAAAGCAAGGATGTAATGTTTAACACAGACAGTGAGAAACTTATTATATTAATCAAAATCATGTATTTTCTTTATGTTCAAAATAAGTAATTATTAGATATACTGATGCATCATAGTATTTTAACTTACTCGAAATTTCCTTGAGTGAGAGTTATTGGTCTTTTTCTTCATCAGGCCTATTCAAAATATGTTTTAATTTTTTTCTTTCATTTCCATAACAACAAAGTATTTTCACCTTTTCTGTAGATGTTGTTCTATCTTTGGGTTTTTCTTAAATGTTTGAGGTTTTTAGGGAGGAAAGGTGTGTATTTTCCAAAAAGAGTTTAAAATGTAAATACCAAAACAAACACACTTATTACTAATAAATACTAATGTTTGAACTCTTCGGTTTTAGAATTTCAACTAACTGTTTGTCTGGTTGTTGTCTGGGTTGGTAGCCTGTCCTATTGCTTCAGCTTGCAACTTGAATCTGTTTAACCTATTGAGAAAGTGCTTAGTGGATAAATCAGTGTGTGGTGTCTATACCAAGGGTTGTGTTTTTATTTCCATACACAAACACCAACTCTTTGGCAGGAGGAGGAACAATTTTTATTTTGTCCACTTATAAAACAAATTGTCCTTAGATATCTGAGTTAACTGACGTACCATACTTCTGATTTATTCTAATCACATTTTAGCAACCTCAATTAACAGGTAGTTGGAACAGCCAGGCAACTGACCTACGCCTTACATTACTCCTGACATTACTGACAACTGACCTTCTCCTGACATTAGCACAGGTAAGAATATAATTGTGAGACCCAAACAGTCATGTCCTTGACATCATTTTTCCCTTAAAAAAATGCCACACTCAACTTACGTTACTTGGGGTTTCTTGGTAATTAAACTCTTAAATAACAGAAGGACAAATGGTGTGAGATGAGGGAGGCAGGAGGGGAAAGAAAAGATGATCGAATGATGCTAAGCCTGGCAAGCAGTGCTAAATGCAGGGAGTTTACAATTGAACTTGAGGCCCTGATGAACAAGAAAAGGGCACCAAGTAGGAAACTGGTTTCAACAAATTGGCATTTTCAAAAGTTATTTGAATTACAAACTTCTTTTTCAATATGCAAATATGCCTGAGAAAGTGAAGTCTGTCATTCACAACTTGCTGAGAGTTATTCTGATCAGCTAATCAGAGGGCAGCTGGAGAGGACTAGGTTTTGAGGAAGTGGAGGTGGACAGTGCCTAGAATAGATTTTTGTCTAGAGCTCTGCTGTCTGCTGTGTCACTCCTAAAAACTGTCCTGGCACCTTCAGCAAATGTCATAAGTTGCATATATCTTAGTGTTTAAGGCCAGTATGCATAATTTTTCCCCAGGATATGGTCCTAAAACAACTATCTAGGCTCCATTTTTAATTAATTAATTGTGAGATTAGAATAATTGGAAGGTGATTCAGTAAAAAATTCTCATGAGTGAGAGACTCTTTACATACAACATGACCCAAAACAATACCTAATCTAACCTGCTCACTCCACTTCTTCAAAAGAGTAAACCTTTCCCTGATCAAAAGTTACTAAATACACTTCTGGCAAGAGAGAAAGAGCAGTGTACTTTTAAAAGCAAAATTTCAAAAAAAAAAAAAAAAAAAGCCAAGGCTTGTCTGTTACTTAAATTGTCTTTTCCATCATTACTCTGCTAAACATTAAGAATATGTAATATTTAAATATTTTTAAATATTTCTTATTTACTTCCTATACATCATTTCCTGAAAAAAAAAAAATGTCTCTGTGATGTCTTTATAAGCAGCTCCAGTTTTGAATTGGTGATTTGTGCATCCAGAGTATGCTCAGCAGAGCATGAATCATATAGATCCCATTATGTGATTATGCAAATGCACACTAAACATATAATTACAAGCATATATGGGCAGTGAAATTTAATTAATTATTATGACTTAGCTTACTTTCTGAGTGTAGTTTTATTAACTAAGAGTCCACAGATGTGTTTCCTCTCTTGATTCATTTACATTTTAATACCATGTAGAAATGATAAATTATTGTAACAGCAGATGATAAAAACAGATGGAATAAACATAATTGAACCAAACTTGATTTATGTAGGTTTAAATTGAACAGTTTGTGTATTTAAGCCACTTTTAAATGCTTCATCCTTGCATTGTGGATATTTAGGAAGAACCTCACACACACACACACATACACACAAAGACATTCAAACCAGCCAAGTGCATTTAGAAGTGCATATTTAAAGATTATTAAATAGCTCTGCAAATTGGTGAGTAATCAGTCATTATATTTTTTAAAGTGATCAAAAAAATCAGACATAGTAACCTGGATATTATAAAAATTATCAGTAAACACTAATGCTAAGTGAAGTGAATATTTGAGAAATTACTAGATATAACTGAAAATCTCAGCCACTTATAGATTACATTGTTCCCTGGAGGGCTGCATTCCAAGCTTCAATAATGGATGATCTTTCCAAAGAAGAAAACTAAAACCATTAGAATCACTTCAGTTCATCCAAAAAGAATATTTGTGTGTGTATGCACATACGAATCACCTATTCTTTTAACTGATATATATTTGAATTTATGTACATATGACTATTACTTCCATTTGTTTGGAATTCCTTCAGATAAAATTGCAATTACATTAGAAAATCAATATTTGGGGCATCAAATTTCTCTGGTGCCCAAAAACTGAAAGAATTTGCTGTAGTTTGTCAAAAATTATTACAGAAATAGGATAGGACATGAAGTGGTTACCATAAAATTATTGCTCAATGGTCTGTGGGAAGACTTCCTTCCCACTCTTTATCTCACATGGTATTCCTGGAAGAATCCTCCTTTAGCAGAAAGTAAAACATTATAAATGGGTGGATTTCAGGCTACCTTTGCTCTTCTTGGACAGATATTTTAATCGTAATTCATTTATCAAGGTGTATCTTCAACCCTAATGCTTCTAGTTTTATGTAAATCATGCTAAAAGAATGAACCAAAATTGTGAAAAGGAAGAGTGTGTTTTCTAAAATCAAGTTATTTTATACTCAAATAAGCCAACTTTTAAAAAAGATTAAAACATATTTCTACTGATGACTTCATTTTGCCACATGGCAAAAAATAATTTTTCAGCGCTAGCTTGCCTTTGGGAATCAGAGATATGTGAGAACTAGGCTTACCCCTTGAGATTGAAAAGGCCAAGTTTATCTGATGGGAGGTCAGCAAAGCTGGACCAATATTGCAATGCCAGAAGTGGGCCTTTGAAGCTATACCATCTAGGGAAGAGGGGACTGGCTGGAGACCAGTCAGCTGCAAAGAACTAAGATACAACTTCATTAGAAGCAGCAGAACTGAAGTAAGATTCAACCACTTGCTGTCAACAGAGGAAAGCTTTTTGTTTGTTTTATTTTAAAACTTCCAAGAAATTTTAAAGCAAAGCAGGTACAGTGAAAGTATTCCTTCTAAAGAAAGAATGATAATATTTATGCAATGAAATCATTTTATACCCTTGGTCATAGTCACCATTTGTGCTTGAAGTAACTACAGTGGTTTATTTTTTATGTCTAATTGTATCTCTGAAATAAAAGGATATAATGGAGATGGAAAATGAATGCCACACCTCTCCCCATACCCACACCCCAGCTCTGTATCACTGCCCTGGTAACCCTTGTCCTCACTACTTTTATGTTCTTCTTAGTGTCGTTGAGAAACTGCTATTATGGTTAAAGTAAAACAGAATGGTTGTGATGAATCAGATATAAAAACCAGCTAAAACCTCATGAACAACTTAAAACCTGATCATTCTTATGCTTTAGATTCAACCAAAGTTCTTGGCAAATATATACTTGCTGTCATTTCTTTCCTTAAGTAACCATAAGAAAGTCTTTTATTTTCAGTTTGATAAGCTCTTCCATGTATTAGAAGAATTATCTGTATTATATACTACTAAGGCACTGTTACCAGTAGCAATACAAATTTTTCATAAGTAAATATTTTATAAGAGCAAGTCTGTACTGTGTAAAGTTTATTTCTAATAATATTGATGCCGATAATGAACTAAACCTATTTGCACTCAAAGTGTTTTCATTTGCTATGCTTGTGCAAATTCATAACTGCACAATCCTCATTAATATTCTTACTACTACATCATGTGAAATACATTTGATAGTGATCTCACATAAACTTTGTGCCAATGCTCGAAATCTGGGCAGATACCTTATGCAAATGGCCTGTATGATGGATTGATGCATTGCACAGGTTCATCAGGATAACGTTCTGTCTACATTGTGTCAATTGTGCCTGCATTTGCAGCAGCAATTGTCATTTCCACTTTTCTATAATAAGTAAATATGTTCAAAATGGTTTGCATGTTTTCCATGGAAAAGACTACCTTGCTACTTCCTGTTCACAAATATATTTCTACACATTTCTAACAAAGCAAATGAGTCATATTAATGGAATCCTGTTTCTGCCTTCATTCATTGAAATTTAAAACCCTACTGCTGTAGCACCTTCACAAATTGTGACTCTAAACCTTAGTTGCTGTGCCAGGCTCCAGCACTCAAGCAACTAGACTGCAGATTACATTGAACATACAGCTTCTTTGGGGCTCTGGAGATTTAATAGCTTGGTTAATTTGTTTTGATCTGTTTTGTTCTTGTCCTACTAAGTTCTTATAAGTTTTCTTTATTTCTGTTGAGAACAAATCGCTTATATGTAGATATCTTAGCTCTACATCTTCTATGATTTGAAATGCTAGTGTTTCTTGGTTATTGAATCCTTTAATTTATCAGCATTTTGAGATTTTTTAAAAAATCCCTATAGAAGACCAAAAGAGATCCAACTCACCCATGTTCAGTGGGTTATGGACAGCCCTGTGCCCTTGCTGGGCTTACTATGAGGCCTTTCATCCCAAATTATTTTGTCTGTGATACCTTGAGGGAAACTTGAGACATAATTCCATAAACCTATTTTCTATTTCAATTAGATGCATGTCCATTTGGCTAATTCCTAACCTTCAACTCAGCCATATGGAAACAGTTCTGACTCTTCAAACTCAGTGATGTAATTTTGTTTATTATGTGCTAATGTTAGTACCTTCCCGGGTCTGTGTTAAGTGTTTAACATGCCTTCTTTCATAATCTAACCAATGACTAGCTATCTCCAGAATTTACCTCTTGGTGCCCTCCTGCCACATTATGCTTCAGATCCTTCTGACCACCTTTCCTTCTTCTAACAAAGGAGCTAACTTCTGAGGTAGTATCCTTACTGTCACTGTTCCTGGAAATCTCTGCTCCAAAATCTTCCAACTTGCACCTTCCTACCATTTAAATCTCTGATGAAATGTCACCTGTCAGTCAGATCTTGCTTTATCTCTCATTCTAAATTACTGTCGCCACCCCCACATGCCCATCACACAAACAAGGACGTTTCCAAAGAAACTATTGGTATGGGGTTTCCAATAGACCTTAAGAATGATTGGGAGCTTAAACTGGCAATCATGCCATCAATTTGTTAGGCCAAGACGCTGAACATAAATGTAAGATTAAAGTCTTTTATTTTCCACAATATCGTCTCGAAGTATCTCTGTAACAGAATAATAATCATTTTCATGATGAGGGCATTCAATTTCATTTTAGTTCTTCACGAAACAGCATTGTATATAAGAATTTTCATGAGATGAAGAATAAATCTGAAACAATTTGTGAAGGCACTTAGCACTGTGCCTAAAACATAGTAGATGCTCAGCAATGCTTGTTGCCTGGACAGGGTGGCTCACACCTGTAATCCCATCACTTTGGGAGGCTGAGGGGGGCAGATTACTTGAAGCCAGGAGTTCCAGACCAGGCTGGCCAACAGGGCAAAACCATGTCTCTACTAAAATTACAACAATTAGCCGATTTTGGTGGCACATGCCTCTAATCTCAGCTACTCAGGAGGCTGAGGCATGAAAATCACTGGAACCCAAGAGGCAGAGGTTACAGTGAGCCGAGATTGGGCCACTGCACTCCAGCCTGGGTGACAAAGCGAGACGCTGTCAAAAAAAATAAAAATAAAAAAAAAGGCTTGTTAATTGGCTACACATACAGCATATTTTAAAGGGCCAATTATATTATCTGACAGGCCCAGAGTTATTCAAGTCAACATCACAATATGAATTGAAGAGTGCTAAAATGCATAGCAACAAAATGTTTCTCATACTCTGATTCTACCAACCATATATCATCTTGGAGTCATTTCCTTGCTTTCCATTAGGGACCTCTTTTTAAAATTCAAAGACTTCAGGAAAATTGTAGCAAACCTCCATCAGGTTGTATATGCAGGCTCTGTTCTGCAGGAAATCCCACTTGACCCAACCAGTAATAGGGCTCCTGAAGACAACTGTCTGTGATTTTTGCCCTAACTAGGCCAGCCACATTTTTTCTTCCAGGAATTTAAAATTCTGACCTAAAGACACAAAAATTGGAAGTTTTAAATCTTGGTCAGATAAATAGAAGATCTCTAGGTCTATTCAATAAGGCAGCCACTAGTCACAGGTGGCTATTTAAAATTAAATTTACAATCCAATTAATTAAAATTCAAAATGCAGTTCCTCCATTGAATTGCTACATTTCAAGTGCTCAATATTATAGAACGTTTCAACCATCACAGAAGTTTCTGTTAGATAGAGGTCATTTAGAACAGGGGTCAACAAGCTGCTGCAGCCCATAGGCCAAGTAGAACCCACTGCCTGTTTCTGTATGAACCATGAGATAAAAATGTTTTTTTTTCATTTTCAAATGGTTGAGAAAAAAAGAAGAAGAATATTTTACGACATTTGAAAATTATGTGAAATTCAAATTTCAAAGTTCACAAGTGAACACAGCCATGCTCATTCATTTACAGATTGTTATGAGTGCATTTGAGTTACAACCATAGAGTCAACAGAAAGCATATGACCAGCAAGTTCAAAATGTTTACTATCTGGCCCTTTACAAGAAAACACTGCTGACCCCCCTGCTCTAGAGGTAGGTACTAAAGTCTCCATAGCTGCCCTGACACTTTCCCAGATTCTGAGAATTTATGAGTAGACCAGATAATCCTTACATTGAAGTGTTAATAACTTGTCCAGTATACAGAATGGCTTTTCACTTCTGGGCTGAAGATTGGAAAGGAGAAAAACCACTGTTAGAAATATGTTTTGGTGGAGGAGGGGAGACATTACAAGGAAAAGTGTCTTCTTCCCCATTACAAACTGCCAGGTGCTAGAGCATCATACTTTACTTTGCTTACCCCAATGTATACCCAGGCCTGCCGCTGCCAAAAAAAGAGTGAAAATAAAACAGAAGCCCTAGCATTTCTCTAGTCTAAACAAGGAGCTCCTTGATATTCTCTGTGAAAGTCCACTAAATTCCCTGTAAGTGAGCCCAGCACCAACTCTCCCTGCAGCTGCACAGCCAGACATCTGGGCCAGAGCTGATGGCATAATTAGGCCTCAAACCAGGTGTAAGTGCAATCAGAGTGGAAAATATGTGACCACATCCTTGGTGAACCTTGTGCTCCTCCCTACACCGAAAGGAGGCACGCTGATTGTATGTGAGTGTTTCTTGAAAAGATTTCATTACATAAGGGTAATTCTCACAAGTCAAAGAATGTACAGGGTCACCCACACTGTAGGAGTTATATTTTACTGGAACTTGCCATAAATTGACAGAGAAAGAGATCCCAGGCAGAAGGATAAAAGAGATCAAAATAGAGTTCCTCAAATGAGGACAGAGAGGAATATACCTAGGGGCTCAGAAGGGAGGCTGTGCTTCTCAGAGATTCTGGGTCACTTGCCATGACACGTAGTTCAATGTTCAGGATTCTCATATAAAAGACTCCAGAGATTCTTCTCTCTAGTAATAGCCTGACAAATCACATTTCATTTTCTCAAGGAGGGGTCAGGTAATCACTTTGCCTCTAGCTCTAATATAATTGCATGGACAGGTGGGGGTTAGCACTAGCGTGACATCAGATGGCCTTAGCCTGAATCCCATCTTCACCACCTATTAGCTGCCTCATTTTTCTGCACTGTAAAAAGGGGTACCTATTTATACTATTGTTTATTAATAATGAAGATAATTCAAGTAAAAGCGCTTACCACTGAGACAGGCAAGATTAACCAGTATGAAAGCTACTATAGAAGACATTGCTAATGGTCTGGCTAATGCCCATCCCTCCCCACATTTTATTTGAAAACAGATGCCTGAGAATGCTCAGAGTCAGTGCCCAGTTCCAAGCAAAAGAGCATGATCTGTTTAGACCAATTCTGAGTACTCTATTCACCACTTTCCCAAGCTCCCTTGCAGTTGGGGTTTGCAGATGCCCCATTTCTAGCCAATGAGAACTTTAGCAGAAAGTTCTTGGGTATGAGGGGAGGGAGGGAGGTGGGAGGGGTAGTTCTGAGTAAGCTTTTGTTTTCTCAGGCAGAAGGAAACAGACAAAGAGGCAACAAACATGAGGAAAAGGCCACAAGAATCTCAGAGTCAAAGTGCTGACACCCCTGAGCCACTGAACCAATACTCTAGATTCCCTAGGTTGTGAGAAAAGTAAAACTCTATCTGTTGCGCATTATCTTACTTTCAGCCATTTTTTAAAATGGATTAGACCAAATAAAAATATCAAATTGTACTGATGAAAAATTATTTTTACTTTTCCTAGAAATTTGCTAGTCATCGCTATGGGAATGGGAAAATAAAAAAGTGAAAAGGGTCCACTAGAGTTTCCTCACCTCAAAGTACACCCAAGTGAGTGTGTGTTTAGGCTCCCCTTCTCTCCTGCCCTGCTAGAAACTTACAATGCCATGAGAGGGAGTCCTGGCTGCCACAAGGAGCACGTTTTCCTTTAAGGCTACAGGGATACAGACACAGGACAATAAAAAGTAGCTAACACTTTTTGAGTGTTTACGGTATGCCAGAGACTGTTCTAAAAGTATTACACAAATTGACCTATTTAATACAATCTTCTATCCACTGATATGGGTACTATTATGAACTCCATTTTACAAAATTCTGCTTAGAAACTGAAAAGACACAGAAAAGTTAAGTTACTTGCCTAAGCTCACACAGCTAGAAAATGCGTGTGATTCAAACTCAAGCACTGAGTCTATGAATTTAAGCACTACACATTAGTTCCTCTCCCTCTAAGAAGAATGGCAACAGGTCCAAGTTCAGCAAGATAAGGAGTTAAAATTGATCTGGAACATTGATCTGGCAAACCTTTTAAAAATCCCAGTCTCAAATTTTGCCAAGTCATCTATTTCTCTAGCTCTTAGAAGTATCCACCATGTGAGGAAATAGGTCAGTTGATTTAGAAAGATAAACAATCTAAATGCCTACAAACAAATAGAGAGTAGATGTTTAGGTTTAAAAAGGATGATGAAGAGACCCATTCAAGGGGAGAGAAATGTATGGAGAGATAAAGATGTAAAAGTAGCAGTCCAGAATTTAGAAGTTTTGGGTAACATTTATTCCTTCCAGTACCAGCTCTCTTGGCTGTCAGGATGTGTGTTTACTCTCACGTTTTCCTCCCAAATATTGAATTAAAATGTGCCCACCACAAGCATTCCAGCATCTAACCTGGGAAACTACCCATCTATCTACTTAAGCAACAGTCTAGAAATAGCCTAGAATTAGAGTAATCTTAAGTTCATCTGATCTTACATAAACCTATTATTGGATAGATGCTGTGGCTCACACCTGCAATCCCAGCACTTTGGGACACCAAGGGTGGGGGGCAGATCACTTGAGGCCAGGAGTTCAAGACCAGCCTAGCCAACATGGTGAAACCCCATCTCTACCAAAAATACAAAAATTAGCCAGGTGTGGTGACACGCGCCTATAGTCCCAGCTACTTGGGAGGCTGAGGCAAGAGAATCCCTTGAACCCAGGAGTGGGAGGTTGCAGTGAGCTGAGATCGTGCCACTGCACTCCAGTCTGGGTGACAGATTGAGACTGTCTCAAAAAAAACAACAACTTACTGAAGAACAAACATACATTAGTGTGAGCTAAGTTGTCCTGTTTGGGGTGAATAACAGGGTTAAATAAGACAATTTTGAAATTCCCTTTTCATATGGTACCTGAAGTAAATTATGTAAAATTTCATTGTAAGATAAATAAATGGCTTAAGTAATCAGTAAAAGCACCTTTTGTTTCTATTGGCCCTTGGTAACCATTGCAGTATTTCTAGTGGAGACCAAATTCATGTTTGTTTGCATGCTCATCTGTTCAAGATATAAACTATTGAGTTCTTGCAAGGTAACAGACACTGTATAAAACCATTAACAAAGAAAGAGATGTGCCTCGTATTCCTTCTATTTCTTCCTAGAGCTCTTAGGAGTAGAAAATAACTTGTATGCTGGTACATTAATGTGTCTTCTACTTGCCTGTACCCATGAAACAGAACCATGAATTCTCTCATAATCATAATAGTGGCAGAGTTAACTCTTTCAGAAAGGGTCTGTTTGAAAAGTAATTAGCATTTGAATTGAGAAATGATTGATGACTTAAAGACAATAAAGTGTTTATTTATTTATTTTTTATTTTTTTGGTTTTAAGGAACAGAGAGTTTAATAGGCAAGAAGGAAGGGAGAAGAGAGAAGGAAGAAGTTTCCCTGTACAGAGAGAGGGAGAGGGGCTCCAAAGCCGAAAGAGGAAGTCCTCACCTGATGCAGATACCAGCTAGGTATATATGCAGAGGCTGGATGAGGCAATGTCTGGTTTGCATAGGGCTCAGGGGATTGGTTTGACCAGGCATGTCATTGACATAGCTGCAAAAAAGCTGGCTCTCCCACTGTAGCCTTTTAATATGCAAATGCAGGGTGCCCTGGATGTTCTACACATGTGGAGATATGTGGGGAGATATGTTGAGAGCCAGGTAGGCAAACTTTGATATGCAAATGCAGGCCATTAGAAACTGGGTCCACCCAACATGGTGATTCCCATGGCCTTCATGCCCTTGCCTGACAATAAAGTGTTTAATTCAGGGACTCCAAAAAGACAAGATTGACTTTTAAAATCATTTGATAAATGCCCAGAGGATTCACCTAACTGATTTCATTCTTTCTTGCTTTAAAACACATATTCCTATCCAAGGCGATTCCCTCTCCAAGGGGACATCTAGTGCCCCTCTCAGGAAAGTAGCAACTTGGAATAGAATCTGGCATGCCTAAGGTCTTTGAGGAACAGGGATGCTTATTTCCTCTGCCTTCCTTGGCTGCCTACATAGATACCTAAGTGTCTTCCCTTCGGGATAGATTGTCCTCTGGTGCACATGCTGAAGAGTTGTCTTTCTTGACATAGGCCAGAGGCATTGATGTGCAGCAGGTTTCTTTAGTCATCAACTATGACCTTCCGACCAACAGAGAAAACTATACCCGTAGAACTGTTTGAAGTGGACGGTTTGGCCGTAAGGGTGTGGCTATTAACGTGGTGACAGAAGAAGACAAGAGGACTCTTCAAGACATAGAGATTTTCTACAATACCTCCATACCTTCACTGAGGAAATCCCCCTCAATGTTGCTGACCTCATCTGAGGGGCTGTCCTGCTACCTAGCCCCAGCCAGGGTTCAATCTTGGGGGTCAGAGGAGCTGCAGGAGGCGGGAGGGAAGGGAGCCAAGGGATGGACATCTTGTCATTTTTTTTCTTTGAATAAATGTCACTTTTTGAGGCAAAAGAAGGAACCGTGAACATTTTAGATACCCTTTCTTTAGGGTAGGCTCTTGCCCCAGGCACTGGCTCTTCTCCCAAAAAAATACTAATCCATTTCCCTAACCTAGTAACCTCCAGATCCCAGAGGCTTTCTTCACCTCAGCTGAGCTCCTTTGAAAGTGATTCAAGGGACTATGTCACTCAGCCTCACTTGCTGGACCAAATCTAGAGGGAGAACCCCTAAAACCCCGGAGTGAGTTTGCCCAGGGGATTGAGTCCCCAGGTCCGGGGAAGCTGGGGAGAGAAAATAGTAGCCATTTTTTACATTGTTTTGTATAGTATCTATTGATTCAGGAAACAAACACAAAATTCTAAATAAAAAGACTTGGAAGCTGCAAAAAAAAAAAAAAAAAAGAAAAAAAGAAAGAAAAAGAAAACCACCTATTACTTCCTTTATTCCCTAGCATCCTCAGAACTGTCTACTGCCTTCAAGGACACACACACACACACACACACACACACACACAAATAAGGACTATCATCAACCACTCTAATCCTGTTCCCAAAAAAACACAGATTTAGAGTATTAAAAATTGTTTTCTCCCCACACACACCAAAAACAAGCCCACTGGATTAATGTCATCACTAAATTGCCTGTTCAGTGGGTGATAACTGTTCTGAAGAAAATTGTCTGCATGTATTTTATTGATCACCTTTAAGGAACCAAGCAGCCTACTGAATTTCAGCTACATTTTAAGGAACCAAAACAGGTTATGTCATCCCAAAGCATAAGAGTCCACATTAGGGCTATATTTTTTTATTTCAATTTTTATTGTAGATACAGGGAGTATATTGCAGATTTGTTACATGGGAACATTTTGTAACGCTGAGGTTTGGAGTACAAATCCCATAACCCAGGTAGTGAGCACAGTATCCCATAGGTAGTTTTTTAACCCACTTCCTCTAGACTCTCTAGTAGTCCACAGTGTCTATTTTTCACCAGGGCTATTTTCTAAGGTGAAAAAAAAAACCATAACTGCCTACTATTAAAAAAAAAATTTATGTCAATAAACGAGGTAAAAGCAGACCAATTAAATTCAGATCCTTGTTGTTTCTCGCCATCAAGAAAAGAAAAAGTGTCTAGGATCATGAAGAGCATAATTACCTCTTAATTCTGGAAGAATGACACTGAATGAGACATGAAGAGACTATGTGACTAGTTGGAACACAGGTTTATCTCCAATTTGGGGATGTTTCCTTCATTGCAGCCCTGTGACTATTACTTTATCTAAAGTCTTATGAGCAGGCATTATTTCCTGACAGCATAATGTAAAGTATTTTTCATACTGACTCAGTGGAAGTCTCCAACTCTCACAGAAATGAAGGGGCGATTCAGAAAGGAAACTACAGGTGGTAACATGGTTCACCTCTCCTCCGGATTCAAAACAATTACTTTGTGTTCAGGTTTTCAAGCCCTTGGCAGCGCCACTTGCCAGCAACCCTCAATAGAGCGGAAGAGAAGCAAAACTCTCAGCTGCAATAGCAGGCCACAACAGATGAATAACATATTTCCAGATTAATTGAGTAAGAACATTTGGCCATGTCTGTCTGATTTATTTTATTGTATGATTTGCAGGCGAATAATGAAGACTGAGTTCTTGATTATAAGATTTGCATTCCTCCACTCTATTGTAAAAACTCATACAAGAACTGTCTTTTCCTACATTGATACAAGAGTTTAAATACATGGTGGAAAAAAAGATGGGCTGGCAAACCACAAGTTTCCTGTCTAGTATTTTTAAGGATTCAGTTCCTCCTCAAGTTACTAAAAGCCATCAATGACAAATTTCATCTCCTTACCTCACAATTCTAGATGTTCCATTTTCTGTACTACAGATGGGCAAGAAAATGTGGTATACTTTTTCATATATGAAGAAATCCATGTCAAGTCATCATGGCTTAAGATATGCACTGTAAGCCAGTGCAGATTTTAGTTTGAGCTAACCCCCAAGTATAACTGATTTAGTAAGTGTGAGATTTGAGAGCAGACTACAAACTACAGCCCCAAATTACAGGACTGTAAATGAAACTAATGGGTTCAAAGCTAGAAAGAACTCAGGCTGCTAACTTCAAAAGCCCTTTGATGCAACATACGGAGCAGCTGCATAAACTTCCAACTACCAGCTCTGACTTTTTGCAGGACAAGCTACAGCTTTATATAAATTCATGGGATAGACTAATTGTGATAGACCAAAGCATAGGGTTGACTACTGTCGATCTCTTACAACAACACAACAGAAGAGAACACAGATTGTTCCTGGCAAGGGGACTTCTTTGGGCCAGAGGACTGGA
This sequence comes from Homo sapiens, assembly GCF_000001405.40. NCBI lineage: Eukaryota > Metazoa > Chordata > Mammalia > Primates > Hominidae > Homo > Homo sapiens. The sequence goes on along the minus strand of NC_000007.14, from coordinate 88,446,316 downwards.
GAGAGGCCCTTACCCAAGAATGTTCTTGTGGGTAGAAGAAGTTGGAGCTTGTAAATAGGCTCCATTTCAAACATCAGCCACTGCTCAAAGAAAAAGGTTGAGTAGAAAGTAAGAATTCATATTTTTTAAAGTGACTGAAAAAGAAGATTTAAATATTTGTTTCAGTGGTTTTCAAACATACATGCTTCAGAATCACCTAGAGTAATCAACGAAACACAAATGCTGGAGCCCACTCTGATTAAGAGGCCCAAGTTGAGACCCAACACTGTACACGTCTAAGTACCAGGAGATACTGATGCTGCTGGTCTGGGCATCACACTATGAGAGCCACTCATCTACACCAGGGTTTCTCATTTTCAATATGACTGACATTTTGGGACAGATAATTCTTTGTTGTGGGGTACTGTCCTGTGCATTGTTGGATGTTTAACAGTACCTGTGGCCTCTATGCATTGGAGGCCAGTAGCAACATGGCCCCAGATATGACAACTGAACATGCCTCTGCAGAAAACGCCACTCCCCTCCACTCCCAGATGTTCTGCAGGGGGAATATTGCCCACTAAGAACCACTGATCTAGACAGATAACAAAAGAATATCACTCTATTGCTGAATTCAACTTTTTCTAATTTTTAAAATGTGAAGAGGTTTACCTTGGTCTTATTTTAATTTTTTTGAAAACCTATTTAGTATTTGGTAACTGTAAATATTCCTCTTTTGTTTAAAGTTCTGATAGGAATATGCGGCAAATTCTTCAGACTAAGAAATAAGATTCATGTCTCAGTTCTGATTTATTAGGCAACAAGGACATAAAGCAACTTTTGGCTAGCCATTCTATGACATTTGATCTTCCCTAAATATCAGATATTTGTATATGATTGAGATGTGTTCTCTAAAGTGCTTTCAGATTCAAATATTTTACCCACCTCCCTAGAGTAATCAATAAAGAGTAGATTCCTGAGTCACCTTAAACAAAGAAAATAATGCTTAACACAACCATGACAAAAAAAAAGAAGGAATTAACATACTCTGGGTAAAAAAATCCCAGAGTGAAAAAATAATTAACAAAGACAGGTGAAATGCCTCAGGAAGGAGGTGATGCCCTGATGCCCTGACACTAAAAACAAATAACAGGCATCAGTTCATACACTAATATTTTATTGAAAAAATAAATCAAGTGTGAGCATACACCTTTGGGACAGAGACACTACTGAACACATAAAAAAACCCCAACCAACTGCCTCAGGAAATAAAAAGTGTAAATACTTCTCCTTTAAAGTTCATGTGAATACTGTTAATTTAATATGAAATTTAACATTAAAGATTTTAAAGATTCATGTTTTTAAAAAGGGGCACAGAAAGTCATTCTAGCAGTTCATAGGCCAACAGCAGGCAAGATCTTCAATTAATCTCTCTATTCTTTCTGGCACAAATTTCTGTTTCTGTTGGTTAGAAAGAACTAATGAGGGTTTTTATCACTGGAGGAATTTAACATACAAATTATGGTAAGAGTAGCAGGAACTCCGTTTCTAATTCAATATCTTTCCAAGCATTACTCTTTTTTTTTCTTTACCTCGGAGCACTCCTATTCTGTAGATTTGCTATATTTTCCAGTATTTGTTCAGTCTGCTTAGTGTAAATCAACGTGTGCAAGCCACACATGGAAAATCCCTGTAACATTAAAAAGCAAATATAATCAAGCCAAGGTTTCAACACATGCCCTAAAGCCTTAAGATGTGCCCCTAAACTACAGTTTTGTGACCTTTTATAGAGGAGAATTCTGGAGCGAGATTTACTTTTGTTTCCTACATATACAGAGTGGCCACAAGGCCCAAAAAGAATGTTACAGTAGAGCAATGAGGACTATGCAGAGAAATTTGTCAGACTTTTGAGAAAGAATAAGAGGACAGTGGATCAATGGACCTAAATGAGACTTGGACTTAGACACCAGCCCTGCCCCACCATCCCCCAGATCACATTCCAATGATACAGGATTGAAAGTCAAAACTTATTCACATTTGTGGCTCAAAATAATTGTTTTCGGCCAGGCGCGGTAGCTCACGCCTGTAATCCCAGCACTTTGGGAGATTGAGGCAGGTGGATCACTTGAGGTCAGGAGTTCCAGACCAGCCTGGCCAAAATGGTGAAACCCCGTCTCTACTAAAAATACAAAAATTAGTCAGGTGTGGTGGTGGGTGCCTGTAATCCCAGCTACTCCGGAGGCTGAGGCAGGAGAATTGCTTGAGCCCAGAAGACCGAGGTTGCAGTGAGTGGAGCTCATGCCACCCTACTCCAGCCTGGGTGACAAAGCAAGACTCCTCCTCAAAAAAAACAAAAACAAACAGACTATCTATTTGCAACACTACTATGTAAGTTTCCTCACACCAACCAATTCTCCAGCTATCTAGAAACTAACTGGGTGTCCTACAATTCAATTCAATCTTGATACTAGCTACCTGGAGCTAGTGTGAGACTACACAGGTTTAAGGGCTTAGCCCAACAAGAGTGCCCCCACTTCAGATGCTAGTCACAACATTGGGTCCCCAGGTTTTCACACTTCCATACTTCTGTCTGACTTGGCTACACATTGGAGATTCCCATGAACCACCCACTTGGGGCTCAGTGTTTTTGCTCAAACAGCTCACAGAACTCAGAAAAATTGTTTACTTACTATTAGCAGTTTTTTAATAAAAGATACAACTCAGGAACAACCAAATGAATAAGGTGCAAAGGACGATATTTGGGAGTGGAAGGCAGGATGGTGCAGAGCTTCCATGCCCTCTCCTAGAATGCCACCACCCTCCCAGAACCTCCATGTGTTCACCAATCTAGAAGCTCTCTGGACTCCACTGTTTAGTAGTTTTCATGGAGGTTTCATTACATAGGCATGATTGATTAAATCATTCACCATTGGTGATTGAACTCAATCTGTGGTTGCTCTCGTTATACCAGAGGTCAGGAGGTCATGCTGGAAGTTCCAACCTTCTAATTACATGGTCTTTCTGGTGACCAGCTCCTATCCTGGTCACCAGAAAGAAACCAGCTAAAGACCCCAGCCACCAATCATCTCATCAACCCACAAAAGATACTCCAGCTGTGCACCAGGAACCAGGGACAAAGACCAAATATATGTTTTGCATTGTACCACAACTACTCACTAGAGAGTAATGTGAGAACTATAGAATTTACCTCCAAATTACATATGCACCATATCCAACAAGTCCCATGTTCAGAATATTGTTTTAATACATTTTTGTTTTTGAGTCTCTTCCATGGAATGAAACTCTGTGGACTATTAGTAGATGTTAAGTTAAAAAAGTAAAACAAAATAAAGTTCCATTTTCAAGTGGGATTACTCTCTGGAATAAACTAATTAAAAATATTTCTTTACTGCACATGTGTTCAGCCTTTTAATATCTTACTGTCTCTAAAACCCTTTGAAATAAATATACACATGATACCTACATATATATGTATAATGTAAAATTTACCAAAATCATAAGCCTCCATTTGTAACCAATAAAGCATCTTGAGAGAGTAGATATCAGTAGAACACAGCTTGGGAAACACTGAAGGGCATGCCTTTCATTGTATTTTATATTTTAATGCCATAGTTATTTTGGGACTAAGAATTATGATAGTGCATGTAGCAGTCAGTAATACTACCCATAACCCTCTTCTCTTTTCCACGTGGAATTTCACCTCTGGACTCATTCTGATATTCCTGGTTGTGCAAGATTAGTGCTGAAGAAAGTGGGAATTTTATCTGTGTAAGGTTTTCTGGATTGGACCCAGGGGTTTTTAACTGCTTTAGTCAATTACTTGTTCCTTAAAGCCTGGGGTATCACACCCAAATTGTTTAATTGATTTGAAAAAGTTTATTTACAGTATTTTCCACATAACTGACTTTTTCAGCCAACTGATTTGCCTAGAGTACAACATTGCTAATTTATACTAATGACTAAGAGAACACTGGAGATTACAAATTTAAGAATTAGCAAGTACTATAAGTGAAAGCATGCAATTAAAAGCAATTAGAGCTGTCTCATCACAAAAGGGACTTGATTAGTCCATGCTTATTATTTATGGTAGTGATTTATAATATGCTATCATTTATTTTGTGATGAAACCTCCATAATGTGACATTTTATTATCATCCTACAAGAAAGATGGACAAAGCTGCCAGAGAGTTGGTAAAGCTTGTCAGCTTTTCTGATGGATCCATTTGTTCACTCAGCACTTACTGTACTCTGCTCCTGCTCTGTGTGAAGTACCATATTCAAGCACAATTTTAATGACTTTTTTCTAATACTATAAGACTAATAGATTTCACCAGCACCTAGAAAGCACTGAAAATAGTAAGAAAAAGACAGAAAAAAATACATCAATAAGTCCATCACCTAGAGATGACCACTGCTAAGATTTTCTGTGCTTACTTCCAATATTTTCTTATACATACATGTAAAGAAAATGTGATGAATGTAAATATGTTTACATAATTGAGATTTTTTTATTTTCAATTTTGTATTGTGATTTTTCACTTAGCTGTTGATGAAGGCATACCAAATTATATCCTTCATTATTACTGCCTATTTAAAGTATATCATAAATTTATGTATTTATGTCCAGTTAATACTCAGAAATCAGCAGTTTAGTTGCTATTACATATTTTAAATAAATTAAAGTCAATAGTCTAAACTGGTTTTGCACCATTAGAGGTAGTTATTTGCATATTTTTCTGAATAGCTGAAAATAACTCATTTTGGAAGATGAGACAAACTCAATTTAAACCTGGTATTAGTCATACTTGCTATTGGAGTGTTACCTTCCAGGTATAGGCAGCAGTAACTTCAGGCAAACAGGAACAAGTACTGGCTTAATCTATATTTAGCCTTATAATGAAATGGAGCTTCCTCAGTCATTGAGTTGCATTACAATTTCCATAATCAATTTCAGCCCACTTCCATTTTGGGGAACTTCAATTAGAAGTTCCAGGAAAAATAATTTTTATTTTCATTGTTACTATTTCTGTTTCATAGGTGAAGTAATTGTAGCACTGAATGGGTAGATGATTTTTATACGGCTTTGGAGAAATCTAATTTCTTAGCATTCCTAAGGGTTTTTTAATGCTAGATCTCCTACACACTCCCTCAAATGAAGACTAAAGCTGTGCCTGCCTGAAGGAAACAGATGTGGTACAGTCATTCTCAACTGAAGCTATGGCTACCACATGAGAATAATTGGCATTAATTAATGCATCTAACAGCTTTAAGCTGACTATGCATTTGCACAACTCCCCTAAAAGCTTCCTAACAGGATCCTCTGAAGTGTACTAACAGTCTCTTAGAAGTCCCTCAGAAGCCCTTTAGCAGTCTTAATAGAAATATTTTGCCCAGTACTAGGAAGGCATATAACGTTTAAGCCAGCAATTTAGTAGTTCTGGAATCCACAAGTCTCATCTCTTCTAAGGTCAGTTCTACAAAGCACCTAATGCCTGCTCACAGTAGATTCTCAATAAGTATTCATAATCACATATTCTTAGTAGAAATTTAAATAGCTACTGTGTTATTTTCATCTCCAGAATTGATGATTCATGATCCTTTTATTGATATTCCCTGGAAAGTTCCTATAGTCTTATAACATCTGTTGTAAATCTGAAGCATTCAGTTTGTAAAAGAGAGGCAAGAAGGCCTTCGTTCCATTTCTTCCAATTTATAAATTAATCTTCTTAGTGTACAATCATGCACTGAGGCAAGTTAAATTCCTTTGTGATACCCAGGGAATTATACAATAGAAGTTAATGCAGATGATTCTTGCCTAGGGAAAAAAAAAACACCCTTAGTGGTCCTGCTCTGTTCCCGCCCTGGGCTAGGAACTTTACACATAGTATCTCACTTGAGCCTCACAATGGCTTACAGTTGAAGGAAAGAGAAGCTTGGAGAAATTAAGTCCAAGCTCTGACCTGATCCTACAACTTCCTGACTTCAAATTTGTGTTGTTTACACCTCAACATGAATTATTTAAAAATCATTGCATCCTCCAGTAGATTTCCAATGCCCCAGTATATACTATGTGGCCATTAGGTCCAAGCTGGCCACAGAGGAGACCCAGCTGGTTCCCTGGCCCTCTACTAAATATATTCTAGAACTCATGTCACTTTACAAAACCACAACGTCTACAAAAAGTCTGCAGCTTTGCTCCTCTATTTATTCATGTATCAGGTAAGATACTAAAGACATGGGTTAAAGGATATGAACAGACACTTCTCAAAAGCAGACATTTATGCAGCCAACAGACACATGAAAAAATGCTCATCATCACTGATCATCAGGGAAATGCAAAACCACAATGAGATACCATCTCACACCAGTTAGAATGGCAATCATTACTAAAAATACAAAAAATTAGCCGGGCGTAGTGGCGGGCGCCTGTAGTCCCAGCTACTTGGGAGGCTGAGGCAGGAGAATGGCGTGAACCCGGGAGGCGGAGCTTGCAGTGAGCCGAGATCCCGCCACTGCACTCCAGCCTGGGCGACAGAACGAGACTCCGTCTCAAAAAAAAAAAAGAAAAAAAAAAAAAAAAAAAAAAAAAAAGTCAGGAAACAACAGATGCTGGAGAGGATGTGGAGAAATAGGAACACTTTTACACTGTTGGTGGGACTGTAAATTAGGTCAACCATTGTGGAAGACACGATTCTTCAAGGATCTAGAACTAGAATTACCACTTGACCCAGCAATCCCATTACTGGGTATATACCCAAAGGATTATAAATCATGCTACTATAAAGACACATGCACATGTATGTTTATTGCGGCATTATCCACAATAGCAAAGACTTGGAACCAACCCAAATGTCCAACAATGATAGACTGGATTAAGAAAATGTGGCACATATACACCATGGAATACTACGCAGCCATAAAAAAGAATGAGTTCATGTCCTTTGTAGGGACATGGATGACTGGAAACCATCATTCTAAGCAAACTATCACAAGGACAAAAAACCAAACACCGCATGTTCTCACTCATAGGTGGGAACTGAACAATGAGATCACTTGGACACAGGGCGGGGAACATCACACACCAGTGCCTGTCAGGAGGTGGGAGGCTAGGAGAGGGATAGCATTAGGAGAAATACCTAATGTAAATGATGAGTTGATGGGTGCAGCAAACCAACAAAGCACATGTATACCTATGTATCAAACCTGCACATTGTGCACATGTACCCTAGAACCTAAAGTATAATTTTTAAAAATTAAATAAAGACGTGGGTTACTTTCATAAAATCTTAGGAAAAGAGAATTTTGGAGTCCACAAATGAAATCTATACTGGGCCAAGGATCCCCAAAACTCCCCCATAAAATATCTTGATTTTCTTCAACAAAGAATCATCTTGGCTTAGGAATATATAACCATAAATCCCAAAATGCTCTAATGTCACCCCTGTCTATAACTGTATCCCTAGGGCAGTGAGGTCTCTAAAGTCATTTATTCATTCAACAAATGTGCTTTGAGCATTCACTTTTTGCCAGGCACAATTGCAGAAACTTGGAATACATCAGTGAACAGAGCAAATGAAAATTCCAGCCCTCAGGGAGTCTACATTCTGGCAGGATAGAGAAGAGGAATAATAGATATAATAAGTAAGCAAATTATGCATTGTATATCAAGACATGATAAGGGCTATAGAAAGCAATCCAGTATTGCAAGCGGACTCAGGAATGTGCAGATGGCACAGATTGCAATTTTAAATAGGACCATCAGATTAGACTCCATTGAGAAGTGGATATTTAATTTAAAAAAAAACTTAAATGAAGTCATGGATCAGCCATGTGCACATCTGGGGGAAGAAAGTTCCTGAAAGATGTATGAAAGACAAAGGACAGAAGCATGCTTGACACATTTGAAGAAGCAAGGGGGCCGGTGTGGCTGCAGTAGAGTATACATGAGGGAGAGTAATGGGATATATATAGAGAGAGATGGGGCCAGACTATGAAGGGCTTTATAGAACAGTGGAAGTACTCTGAGTTTTAGTTCAAGTGGGATATATTTCTAGATTTCTATCATTGAAATGACATAATATGACTTACACATTTAAAAGGCTCACTCTGGGTGCTATATTGAGAGTAGAGAATAAAGGAGTGGGCAGTGGTTGAGGGGATAGGGTTGCAGCAGGGATCCATGTTACAAGGCTGGAAGTAATCAAGGTGGAAGGTGATGGTGCCCCAGGCCAGTAGGAGCAGTAAAGGTGATGAGAAGTGGTTGAATTCTAAAGATATATTGAAGAAAGAACTAAAAGCATTTTCTGATGAAATGGATATGGAATATGAGAGAAAGAAGAGTGAATGATGACTCCTCTGGTCTGAACCTGAACAGCTGGAAAGATGGATTTGCTATCACCTACAACGGGGGGGAGCAGAGCTTATTAAGAGGGGATCAGGAGTTCTGTTTTAGATGTATTAAATTTGAAATGTCTATTAGATACATAAGTAGAGAATAATTAAGCAGTCAAAAGTATCACTTTTAAGTTAATAAGAGAGGTGTGATAGGGTGATGCAAATTTGGGTGTCCTTCTTGGTTTGCTTGTTCCTTGAAACCACAAGATTGCATGAGATGGAGTGAATGCAGATCGAGATGGCATCCAAGGACTGATGGGAAGACCATGTTAAGAGGTCTGGAAATGAGGAGGGATCAGCAAAGGCACCTGAGAAAGAATAACCAGTGTTATAAAAGAAAAGCAGAGAATATAGTGTACTGGAAGACAAGGGTAGAAGTTTACTAAGAAGAAGGGAGAGATCAATGTGTCAACTGCTGCAGAATTATGTAAGATGTGAAATGAGAATTCACCACTGAATTTAGCAACAAGGGAGACACTGGTGATACAGACAAGAGAAGTCTGAGTATAATAGTGGGGATAAAAGCCACATATTTGAATGCTAAAGGGAATGACCCAGTAGACCAGTAAAAACCAACCAACCAACCAACAAAAACCCTAAAATGTCAGAAAGTAGAATTGCTAAATGAGTCACCTTGAGAAAGTGAAAGAGGATGGGACTTGGTGGCTCAGATAGGGGTATAGATCACCTGTGGTCATAGGTAAGGAGGAAGAGTATGTGGGTATAGGTGCTGGAAGGCTTTGAAAGTAGATATCATGAGAGGCTATGGAAACCCTCTTCCAATGTTTCAATTTCCCCTGTGAAAATGGAGGTAGGGAAGAACGTGTTGAAGATTAGGGAGGAGCAAAGAGTGAAGTAGTTATCAAGTAGAGTAAAAGAGTGAATGAATTGTCAATGTTTGCCAATTCATGGCAAACATGAATAAGGTATGATTATCAGTGGAGCATTTAGAGCCCAACTTAGGTTCAAGGCCATGAATTTAAAGAGAGACTAGTCAGTGTGATTATTTTTCTTAAGCCACATGGGTACTGGCCTGGAGAAGTTAGTTGTACTTAACATGAGTTGTGGTTTGGGAAAAAGAGTATGATGAAGGGCAAAGGAGAGGCTACAGCTCCTGGCCATGGAGGTTAAGCTGGATATGGGGACAGTGAAAATGGGAGATCACTGGTTGATTAATTCCTCCTCTTTAACAGATGCTGAGAAGGAGTCCCAAGGTGGTATCTGTTACATTCTTGAATAGTGGCAGGTGGCCCTATACATTCAGGCCCCTGAACCAAAACAATGAAGGCTTGGACACAGCCAGCAAGAGCCAAATGAGTGGATATTTTAGTCTCTGCCTCTGATTCATTGGGTGAATTTGCTCAAATCACATTGTTTCTATGTACCTTTTTTCCTCTCATCTACAATTTAGAGAAAATATCTTCCTCATGTGCTTCTGAAAAGCAATAAAAACATTGGTAAAGACTTCAAAATCCTTGAAAAAGCATTTTGCATTATACTAAATATGCATTATACTAAATTTTATTTAAAATGCTTTTATATTTGCATTGTTTGCAGAGGTGTGTTCCCCTCATAGTTTATACCAAAATACATTTATCCTTCGCATCTGGATAAATGAATCTTATTCTTGACATCAGTTGTTTCAATTGCCCTTCTTTTAAATTTCTTTCATTTTTGTCACTTTAACATGTTGCTGATGTTAGTTGAGATGCCAAAATTGAATTTAGTATAGACATACAAGTTTCCTGACAGATTTATTATATTAAAAAACAAGAGAATGGGGACTAGTGTTTTTGAGAGTCTATTATGTGGCAGATGCTACACATTTAATATTGATTTAATCTCCAAAACAATGCTATGAGTTTGTTATTATTATCAGCCTCATTTTATAATGATAAAACTAAGTTTAGAGAGATTATATAATTTACCCCAGTACACATAGATTGTAACTGGTAAGCTTAGATTTGAACACAGTTATGCATGATTCCAAATTACATGCTCTTAGATGTCATTCCATTATATTTCAATAAAACTCTAAACACATGAAATGGATTAAAACCAATGTTGTCTCACTTTTTAAAACATGTTCCCAAAATGTAGACATTGTGAAATCTGAAGAAACTCTACTACAGCCCTCAGGGAAGCTTAAATTCTTATATTCTTTATATCCCCACACAGCATGAGTTCTGATACCGTCTTTCCCACCTCACCTGTATCACCCATATCCCTACTGCAGGAGAAGTGGAGAAAAGGGAAATACTCACAGAAAAGAAATTCAAAAAATTTCTCACTACAGGTGACATGGGAAGCTACAGGATTATTTGGTGGTGAGCTGCACTCAGGAAAGTCAATGCAGAGTTAGGTAAAGGTATTCTTGCCAGTGGTTGGCACTGAGTGCTTAGGGAAGGTCTGTTAAATGACTGAAGGGACCCATCACACTGGTGAAAAAGGTGAGGGGAAACCCGGGTTCAACCTGTGTGAGTGAGCTGGAATGCTTCCATGAACTGACTTCTACTGTGGCTTTGTTTTCATTGGTGTTTCTAAAGGGTGCTTTATGTCTTTTCATTTAAGGGCTCTGTATCATAGAAAAAGCTCATAAATAAGAGAAGGGGGCAATGTCACCTTCAGGGCCAGCAAGTTTCCCAAATACCTGCAGCCAAATTGTGAAGTGTTTTTAGTTGCTAGAAGCCTAGAATTAAGGCTGGTAGTGGGGAGCTAGCCAAATATAGTACTTCACAGTAATATTTTAACAGTGCAACTATTTCTTGAAAATCAGAATTCTTTTCCTGAAGCAATGAACTTCCCCTAGTGAAAACATGCATATATCTGTAAATTCCTAAACATTTTGCCCTACAAATAATATCATTATATCTTTATAAAAAAGTGCATTAAAAACAGATTCTATTTGAATGAAGCAGAAGCCCTGACATAGAAGAAAACCACAGCTTTTTGAATTCCTTCTATCAGGCATCAAAGTAACAGAAAAACTGAAAGAATTCAGATTGTCAGGTTGCCACAGTTACATTGATTTTATAGAACTAGAGTTTCCTTAGGAAATGTAGTATGGTAAAATGATTATTTTACTACAGTCCCCATCCATGCTAAGAGAATATGTTTTCTTTCTTGATAGAAATTTTTTTTATTATACTTTAAGTTCTGGGTTACTTGTGCAGAACATGCAGTTTCGTTACATAGGTATACACGTGCCATGGTGGTTTGCTGCACCCATCAATCCATCACCTACATTAGGCATTTCTCCTAACATTATCCGTCCCCTAGCCCCCTACCCAAACAGGCCCCAGTGTGTGATGTTCGCCTCCCTGTGTCCATGTGTTCTCACTGTTCAACTCCCACTTATGAGTGAGAACATGTGGTGTTTGGTTTTCTGATCTTGTGATAGTTTGCTGAGAATGATTGCTTCCAGCTTCATCCATGTCCCTGAAAAGGACATGAACTCATCCTTTTTTATGGCTGCATAGTATTCCATGGAGTATATGTGCCACATTTTCTTAATCCAGTCTATCATTGATGGACATTTGGGTTGGTTCCAAGTCTTTGCTATTGTGAATAGCACCACAATAAACATATATGTGCATGTGTCTTTATAATAAGTAGCATGATTTATAATCCTTTGGGTATATACCTAGTAATGGGATTGATGGGTCAAATGGTATTTCTAGTTCTATATCCTAGAACTGCCTAGCAAATTATCCCACAGCTCTCCAAAAGATAGAGCAGATGGGGCAAGTGAGTGTTTAAAGTCTCTTCCTGCTTAACTGCCCCTACTCGTGGACAATTATCTGCTATCCCACAGCCCAGCCACAGTGCCTATCTCTTCTGAAATAACATGTGGACCCACTGTGTCAGTAAACTCACACCCTGTAATGTTCTCATCAACCAAGTAGACCATTTTCCTCAATCGGCCTTGAAAGAGAGAGAACCGTGGTTTAAGCCCAACCACATCAATCTAATTATCAAACTTTGAGAAAACCTCTAGTGAAAAATAAATGTTCGTGGTTCAAAACTAGTATCTCCTCATTCTTATTGACTGCAAGGGTGCTTCTCTCAGAATCTGTGCTCTAAGCAGAGAAGCATCTTTTCAGCACATCCTTGAATTAAATCAGCACATCAGTGTAAGCAGCCCAGGGAGCCATGAGCAACCACTTTGCCATCCTCATCACATTCTCCCCCAAATACATCCCCAGTGAGGGTCCAGAGCCCCCACAAAATTGTTTTTGCAGTCACTTACAGTGCAAATTGGAATTCCTATCATTAAAAAGGAAGACACTCATTTCTTAACAGTTTCTCTGCATCTGAGGCCCCGTTCCATGGGAGATGTCTCTTAAGAGAAAACAGTGTTAACTTAGAAACACCAAAGACAGTTTTCTGAGTCCAGTGGCAAATCTCAGTTTACACTATGTCTAGCCACAGACTTGGCTCATCTGCTCTAGGCAAAGAATTCTTGAGGCAGGAGTAACTAACTTGTTCCTTTCCATACCATAACAATCAGGTGTATGGTTTATTCCTAAGGTTTATAGCCAAATGCATAGTTGAGTACAGTAAGGAATGATGAGGTCTGAAATTGCAGCAAAAACCCAGCCTCCTCTCATTATTCCAGTCAATCATAAGTTGAAGGTTTCCAGTAGTGCTTTGTTGATTGGTGTGTGATACTGTTTATTTTCTAAAAACGCATAGTGCAGTTGTTTTTTACCTAGTGAAAAGATGGTGTAAAGTTATCTTTTATCACTGTCAAGAGACTTAAATAATTTAAGAGACTTTTATTCATGGCCCAACAGCAGTTCATATAAAAGATGGAAGCATTCTACCAAAGACTATAAAGGCTAGGGAAAAAAAGGTATTTCCAAAGGCTTGGATGACTTTTGAGTATGAAAACCGACTAGAGGGAAAGTAGGAAAGTACTAAGATTACAGTAGGGTAGGGAAAGAAGAGAAAGAACATTCAAGAAAGTCAACTGTTGGATGAAATCCAAACCTTTAATCCCTGAACTCAAAGAGAAAAAAACAAAACTTTAACATCACTCGGCAATGACTACTCCAGCCAATATGGATGCGACACTCATGGACTTTGAATAAAATCAAATTGTCTGCTGGGAAGATTGGATTATGGCAAAGAAATACTCTGAAGGAAAAGGGCAGCTGGAATAAGATAGTGATTCTCTAGAACTAAAGAAAAACTTTCCTGACTTCCTAAAAAGAAAAATATAGCACACAATAATCACACAATGGATGTGCAGCTAGAAAATAGGGGTATACAAAAAGCCCAGAACTGCATGTCAGATTATTTTACCAGTATTTTGTGGCTTTCTTGTAGCTCACTGTTCTCAGGGCAGCAAACACAGGGCAAGGCATTTTACAGATAGATGATAATGGCTTTCAGTGTTTCTCAAATTGGCTCAAAGCCCATACTGTGTAAATTGCTAAAAGCCCATATGTAATTCTGAACCTCTTGCAGGCTGAGACTCTGTGTGCTGGTAATAATTACATAGACTGGGATAATTAACTTCTGACACGAAAAGGGATGAAGGTGAGAGATGAAAATGCAGACCGTAACAACTTTTACTTAAAGCAAGGGCACAAATTGACAAAAACCCTGGGGCATTCACTTGGAAAAATTTACTGTAGTCTATGTCTCTAATGTTTTCCTATAAGAAGAAATTTCTCCATGCTCCCATGATTATTCTTTTCTGATATTTATGGGTTTTACGGCCTTATCCATTTTAATTTTTGTCTGGACAGTCTAGCTTTGTCAATGTTCAGATTCTTAAGAGAAGACATAGGCCCAAGGCACACAAGCACATTCAGCGCTTGAACACTCCCACAGGAAAAGAATTGACCTCAGCCTGCAATAAGCAAAGCAGCTGAAACTGAGCCCCCTGCATAACACATGTGAGTGTTGAAGAGCTGTCGCTTCCACAAAAAAAGAATTAGAAAAGCCTGGGGAAAGGATGAGAAAGTTTTCCATCTGTCCGAGGCTCTCAGGGAGGATAAAAAGAAACTCATGAGACATCAAATCTAGGGCACTCAGGGTCTCAATCTACACTAATCACAGGGTAAGGGTCCCAAAGAGAATACATTAAGATAGATCTATTTACAACCATTGAAAACATTAAGGCTCTTGCAGAAGTATCCTAAAACTTCTCTAGAAATATTTTCACAATTAGGGATTCAAGGAACTCCTATGCGGGAAAAGTAGCCCAGCTCAAACTAAAAATGTTAAATCACTCGAGAAAAGGAAGTGTCATGAGGGACAGAATAGATTTCAAAAACAGACCCAAATCCCTATAAGACAAACCTTTTAGCATAATTAAGGAGGTAAAAGAATAAATAGAAACCATAATGAAAGACCAGAACCTGTGATGAAAGCTCTGGCTGAGCTTTAATAACTAAATAAATGTCTGCAAATGTAAAAATGCAGTTATGATTTAAAATGTAATAGATAATAATAATCTTCACAACAGATTGGAAAATATATATTTTCCTAAGTAAAAATAACAACCAGGTATAAAACAGAATGGAATAAGAAATCCAATATGTAGGCCAGGCATGGTGGCTCACACCCGTAATCCCAGTACTTTGGGAAATGGAGGCCAGTGGATCTCCTGAGGTTAGGAGTTCAAAACCATCCTGGCCAACATGGTGAAACCCCGTCTCTACTAAAAGTATGAAATTAGCCTGGCGTGGTGGTGCACACCTGTAACCCCAGCTACTTGGGAGGCTGAGGCAGGAGAATTGCTTGAACCTGGGAAGTGGAGGTTGCAGTGAGCCAAGACCACACCATTGCACAGCCTGGGCAAGAAGAGCAAGACTCCATGAAGAGGAGAGGAGAGGAGATAAAGGAAAA
This sequence comes from Homo sapiens, assembly GCF_000001405.40. Lineage (NCBI taxonomy): Eukaryota > Metazoa > Chordata > Mammalia > Primates > Hominidae > Homo > Homo sapiens. The sequence continues at coordinate 88,431,061 of NC_000007.14, read as the reverse complement.
TCTAATATGTAATAGCATTGAAAAAGACAAAACAACTAAGATAACAGTATAAGAAATACACAAGATCATTATGAAAAAAACTTCTAAGCACTAACTACTAAAAGACACAAAAGAAGATACGAACAAATGGAAAGACATGCCATGTTCTTGAGGAGAAAGACTCAATACCATTATCTTAATTCTTCTTGAGCTGATTCATAAATTTGCACAACCTAAAATATCAACCTTTTTAACTAGATGAGTTGATCATAAAGTTCATATAAAAATCACATAGAATCATCAGCACGCAGGCATTAAAAGAATGAAATTGTGTCTTTTGCAGAAACATGAATGGAGCTGGTGGCCACTGTCCTAAGTGAACTAACACAGAAGCAGAAAATCAAATACCACATGTTCTCATTTATAAGTGGGAGCTAAACAATGGGTACATGTGAACGTACAGAGGAAAGTATTAGACACTCGGGACTGCATAAGTAGGGAGGGTGAGAAGGAGATGAGGGCTGAAACATTATCTACTGGGTACAATGTTCACTATTCAGGTAATAGTGAATAGAGTCTCACTAAAGCCCAAACTTAATCACTATGCAATATATCCATTTTATAAAACTGCACTGGTACCCTCTAAATCCACAAAAATTTTAAAATTAAATAGAATAGTCAGGAAAACACTGAACAAAAAATCAAAAGGGGGATTACTACTACCAGATATTAAAACAATTTATTATATATTAATAATCATATCAGTGTTGTAATGGGACATAAACAGACCAGTGATGTAGAAAAGAAAATCCAGAAATTGACCCAGATCCTGATAATTCACAATATGAGATAATAAAAACGGAGTTTCACACCAGCGGGGGAAGTAGACTAATCAAGAAGTGAAGTCATGTTGGGACAATGTAATGGCCATTTGATTATTACTCATTGCATGCCTGTATCAGAACATCTCATGTAACCTATAAATATATATACCATTAAGTGTATAAAATTAAGAATAAATTTTTAAAACAATAATTTTCAACTGATATCAGAGACAAAGATAATCTATTTAATACTTACAAAGCTTTTATGATAAGGAAAATAACAACTCAATATAATGGTCAATAGATATGAACAGAGTTCACATTAATACAATAGCTCTCGAACATATGAAAAGATGCTCAGTTCACTTAAAGTAAAAGAAAATTAAGACAGAAATACCCTGAGAAAACTTTTTCCATCTATTGGACTGACCAGATTTCAAAAGTTTGATCACACCATGCTTAATTGGCTAGGAAAACAGACAGTCCATGCATTCTCTTTTGTTGTATTTTACATTTACATATACTTCATGCATTCTTGAGTAAATTGGTGCAACATCGAAGGAGGACAATATGACAATATCTATCAAAATTTTAGTGAATACACTATTTGACTCAGCAAATTCACTGTCACTCATTTGAAATGACTCATGGAAAAGTCATGTTTAATAGCAAGAGCAAGAAAACAATACAAATATCCACCAATAGGGGCTATTTAAGTAAATTACAACACATGTGTGCAGCAGAATACTGTGCACCATAAAAAAATAAGCAAAGGAAATTTCCATGTACTATTACAGATACATCCCCAAGCTATATGGTAATGTGAAAAAAATCGAGGTACAGACAGTGAATAAATATGCCACCTTTGGAGTATCAAGGGTAAGAGAAGATAAAAATCTACTGAAATAATGATGTTTGCCTGCACATGCATAAACAAACTCTAGAAATAGGCAAAATAATTAAAAAGCAGTAGTTAACTCTGAGAGGAGATGTCAAAGATAGAAGAGTGAATTTTCACTATATACTTCCTGATTTTTTAACATTATGAATGTATTACTGTATTCAAAAAATTAGATTTAAAAATATATTTAAAATGTTCAAATTCAATTATAATAATTAAGTTTAAAATTCAAACAGTACCACCTACACCTATCAAATTAGGAATTATTGTTCATGACAAATTTCCAATTTGGCAATGGTCTGGCAGAAAAGTGCACGCTGATATACAGCTGGCAATGGTATAAATTGATACCCTCTTTCTCTGAAGCAATTTTGGCAAGACTTTGAAAGCTTACATCCTCCAACTCATCAATTAGAATTCTGGAAATGTATTCTAAGGAAAAAATATGCATATTAATTAAGAACTACAAGAATGTAAGGGGGGAATAGAAATTGGAGAGGTGGGGGTCCAAATGACACTTCAATTTTATCTATAATGTATTCTTAAAAATAAAAGAAATGTGATATAAATATAGCAACAAGGCAACGCTTAAATACAGGTGGTAGGTATCCGAGTATTTGTTATGTTATTTTCCCTAGTTTGCTGTATGTTTCCATTTCATTTTTAATTTATTGCACAAAATTACCCACGTAAGTGAACAACATAGCTTTTTTTAGTATATATAAGAAAATTTGCTCCAGCATGGAAAGAATTATATTATATACATGTTTTATACATTGTTTAATATTGTGTGAATACCTTTTACATACTAGATACAACAATTAAGACATTAAAGTGTTGACTTCAAGCAAAGAGGAATTAAATAACTTGAAATTTATGGAGAAGATTAGAGATGACTTCATGCTATTGATCTCAGACATTGGTAAACATTATTACCAGGAATGTTTCTATGAATTCCAAGGTCCAATTTCAGATCTGTGAAGTGTGATTATTCAGAAGGAAGGCTAGGCAAGTATATTAAACTTAGCAAATCCTGTTCTAAATTCTGGAGCTCACTGGTCTAAGGTATAGAGCAGTGCTTCTGCAAGTATGGAAAAGCCACCTCCTCCAGTGCTTGAGAACATTACAGATTCCTTGGTCCTACCCAAGATCTTTCTAATCTACAATTCTGCAGCTGGTGCCCTAGGAATCTGCATCCTAACAAGAACCTCAGGTTATTCTAATGCAAGACTTTAGAAGCACTGATGTAGATCATTGATTTTTTTTTTCTTGCTCACATAGAAAAAACTGTGCTCAAGATACGGCTGGAGGGATGCAAGCTAAGTAGAAGGCAAGAACCAATTAAATGCCAAAAGGTGTTTCCAAAGGAGGTTATAAAATCTACTGTTCTGGAAATGCTAAAAAATATACTTTTGCCTGGTAGCAGAAGGCTAAACTAATGACCCCTGAAAAGCTTTCATAGCCTTATAGTTTTAGATATAATTAAATGCCCGAAGGTAAAAGAGAATAAGAAATTGAATGGGTTTTGGATGATGAGTTAATAATACAATAATGGGCTAGGCAGGGACAATTTTGGTGCGCCTTTGAAGCTGTGCAATGAGATTTCAAAAACTTTAGGACTGAAGAAGTATGTGAGAGTAAGAATTATGGTGTCCCAAACTTCTTTAATGACCTCACTGAATAATAGGTGAGCAGAACATGTGCTTTGCTTTATTTCAGCTGCACAAGTTGCCCTGGCCATTTTTAGCTTGCCTTCCCCTAAGCATTACCTCTGGTTCCAAGTAAACAGAGAATATACATCTGAATCTAGTACATACACACATGCTTCAGCACTTTCTCATAAATACAATTTCTAGCCAAATAAAAATGGCCTGAAATTGAAAGAAGAAAGATGTTAATTTTTTTAAGCTCAGAGCCCATTTTTTTGCAGCCCTACTCTGGCTATGTTAACAAGGTTATCAATTTTAAGCAACCCCTCAGCCCCTTTTGAAACTCCACAGCAACCCATGGGTGCGGGGTATACACATACACTCACACCAAGAAGTCTGTTTTTTGAAAAAGAAAATAAATTTACATTAGGCATATCTCCTAATGCTATCCCTCCACCCTCCCCCCACCCCATGATAGGCCCCGGTGTGTGATGTTCCCCACCCTGTGTCCAAGTGTTCTCATTGTTCAATTCCCACCTGTGAGTGAGAACATGCAGTGTTTGGTTTTCTGTCCTTGCGATAGTTTGCTCAGAATGCATGGCACATGTATACATATGTAACAAACTTGCACATTGTGCACATGTACCCTAGAACTTAAAGTATAATAACAAAAAATAAAAAGAAAAAAGAAAAATAAATAAATAATAATAATAAAAAGAAAATAAATTGCACTGAACTGAAACAACTACACATACCTTCCAATCTAACTACTCATAGTTTCAGAGACTGCAGACAAGAGTAAATTGTGTCATAAAAGGAGAGAAGACTGGACTTAGAATTGAAGTTCCGGGTTTAAACTCAGATTCTAACCTTCTAACACTTCCTAGATGTATCATTTATATCGTGTGTGTGTGTGTATTTTCAAGAAAAAGTAAGTGGAGTAAAGATAATATACGAGCAGGAAATAAAATAAAACCACTATAAGATCAGTACCCAAATAATAAGCAATCATCTTAATACTTTATTATAGGCCACAAATGCGGCTCTGAGCTTTCTAGAAGGCACATGAAAAACCATGGTCCATCACATGATTGACACGGTCCATAAGACTAAAACAAAGTTTTTCATGAGAAGTGCAACTATTACTGGTGTTGAGTTTAGGCAGAAATTTTTTCTATCAAGTTTTTATAATGAGGATTAATGTGGTGAACAATATTCTCTAAATAGCCTTAGAATAAAAGTAAGAATTTGTTTATTATCATGTACTTCACACACCTCAGTGTAAGTCAAAGTACAATGTTCCAAAAGCACAATGCCATAAAACCAGTTCTACAGAACAGATTAAGTGATGCCTTAGGTACACAGTCCTTTGATGGAGGCTTAAAGTATCCAGAGTGGAAGTCACAAATGGGCAGCAAATAGATCCATAGATGTACTTTCATTGGTTCATGAGCTTTGGGGGGTTTTCCCCACATTTAAACTGGGAAATTTCAAATAAGATTCAATACCGGGGTTTGTTTTTATTTAGTAGCTCTAGCCCCACATGAAGCAATGATTGGGAACTAAAGACCGGCTATTGTCCCCTGTCTTCCCACTACAGTCATTAACTCTGCCTGTTTGGTCCCTGTACTCACATGAGTTTGAAACTCTTGACCTGGAAGAATGGGTAGAGTATGTTTACTAAACACAGTACAGCATCAATATTTCTCTCACCAAGCTTTGACTCAGTATTGAACAGCAGCAAAATTCACTGTGTGGCCTTAAGCAAGAGATCTCATCATTGTTCAGACTCCATTTCCTCATCTTGGAGTTATTGTGAGGATTAAATGAGATGTCTTCAAAAGCACTTGACTGCTAATTACTATTCCAATGAACCATATTATTACCAGAAATTATCCACAATACTATTTACTTCATCTTAATTATAATGGACTCAATAATATTTTCCTCACCATGTTACTTCTGGCCTTTTCATAAACTTCTAGGATTTCTGTTGCCTATTAGAATGGACATCTCTTGTATTACACCTCAAATTCTCTTGGTCCCACCTGTTACTCCAGCCACCACTGAATGACAAGCTCAATGGAGGTTTAACCTGCATAATGTAGGTGCCACTGGACAGACTTTGCCTGGGGGTCTACAGAACACACCTCTTGCTCCCTGTCCCAGGGATCCTCTGACATGCACATAAGACGCCATCAGAAACCAGTTTGGCACTCATCATGCACATCCCAGAAGTTTAATGCCCTTGGAACCATCCTTGACAAGTTAGTGAATGAGGATTGATGGTTAAATATTCCCCCCACCTTTGTGCTGCGGATGGACAGTTCTGAAACAGGTTTTATAAAACTACTCAGAAAGTCCCAACAATAATCACATGCCAGTCACCCATGCCAGTGGCCACCTCAGTTACACATTATCCTTTTGTCTTTCCCGTCTTCCCTGGTTCAATCCCCCTGTACCTCACTCTAGCTCTCTAAAATCACTTCAAGAAAACCCCTTGTGTATAAACCTTGTCTCCAGCTTTGCTTTTGGGGAAGTTCAGGTACAGATATTACCCAAAATATGCTCTTAGATAGAAATCATCCTTTACAGGACCAATCAAAAACTGAAAAGATAATCCACAGAATGAGTGAAAATTCTTGCAAATAATATACCTGATAAAAGATTTATAAGACATACAAATGGCCAATAAGCACAAGAAAAGCTGTTCAACATCATTAGTCATTATGGAAGTGTAAATCAAAACCACAATGAGATGGTTACACTAAAAAAACCATTCTCAGCCACGAGAATGGTTATAACAAAAAAATCAAATAACAACAAGTGTCGACAAGGATATGGAAAAATTGGAACCTTCATATACTGTTCATGGGAATGTAAAATAGCACATCCACTTTGGAAGACACTCTGGCAGTTCCTCAAAATTTAAAAATGCAGTTACCATGTGATCCAACAATTCTATTCCTAGGTGTATACTCAAGAGAAACAAAAACATATGTCCACACAAAAACTTGTAGAGAAGTGTTCATAACAACTATTATTATTCATAATAGTCAAAAAGTGGAAACAACCCAAATGTCCATCAACCGATGAATAAATAAAATGTGGTATATACATACAATGGAACATTTTTCAGCAAAAAAATAATAATAAATAAGAAATACTGACACATGCTACAACATGGATGATCCTTGAAACATTATGCTAAGTCCAAGAAACCAGCCACAAGGGACCATATATTGTTTGCTTCACTTATATGAAATGTCCAGAATAAGCAAATATATAGACAGAAAAATTAGTGGTTGCCTAGCTCTTGTGGGGATGAGGGATTGGGAGGTTCAGCTAAGGGACACGGGGTTTCTTTTGGGGATAATAAAAGTATTGTAAATTCGATTTGTGGTATTGAATGCACAACTCCATCAATATACTAAAAGCCATTCAACTGTATACTTTAAATGGGTGAATTATATGGTTATGTAAATTATACATCAATAAACCTATTAAAATAGAAATAATCATATTTTTTAGCATATAACAGCCTGTAAATTGTGGTTGCTGCTCCTTATTACAAAACACCACTGGATTCTCCATTTGCCCATTTCTTCAATTGCAGGGAAATTTTCAACTGGTTCAAAGAGCAGTGTCCAGACCAAAGAACATTTCTGCCACATTGTTCAGCTCTACCTTTCTGGCTTTCTCAAAATGTTATGGCAGTTCTGTCATCTATTATATAGGGCATCGGTAGTTTGACCACAAACTCACCATGATTGTAATGGTCATTTATAATAAATATACTAAAGGCAGTCACATTTTATCACCCAGATCCCTGCCATGCCCACTTCCACAGTGACCATCCTTCCCTCCCACATGGCCATGATTAAATTCATCTTCACATCATCACTCTTACACAACAACCATGTGATTAAATTCAGGCTTAGAATACTTTGAGGTTACCGTGATTGAGGACTGAAACTTTGGAAGTGAGTGGTAAGGTAGCCCCACACACAAACTTTGAATCATGAAACATGAAGCAAGATGGGCATCTCCATTTAGTCAACATCAAAAACAACATAGGAAGTATGGAAAGGATGATGAAAAATTCATCCATATTGGTTTCACTGTGAATCACTCTGAATATCCTATACCTTGGATTCTACTTTACGTCTCATTCTCAGGGAAAAAGAAAGAATGAGTGTTCATGCCTTTCTGGAAAAGGTTATTTTACTGTGTTTCAGCATAACTATAGCCATTTCTGACATTTGTGCTAGTCCAGTCCAAAACTTCTGAAGTTCCATTGATGAGTATTCTTAGCCTTATACTGTAAGAAATTTATACCAAGAAGTTATTCCCATGGTAACAGAAGTAGAAGATGTATTGCCTACAATCTTAGCTCTTGGTTAAAAGAGTAGCTGTATTTTTCAGAAAGAGTTTAAGAATGGCATTAGACCTAAATTTCTCAATTTTAACTTTAGAAAATATTGTCCAGACAAACGATGAATCCCATATAGCCAATGAGTTGAAATAAGCTGACTTAATTGCCTAATGTCAGTACTGTGAGTAATGGAAGCCTGATCCAAGAGAGATGGTTCAAGAATTAAGATAAGTTTCATTGGATGGTACCAGTTATTGCTACTATTTATTATTCCTAGTTTCTGTATTTTCTTCCCTCCTGGACCTTAGGCCAGACCTGCTGGGAAACTGGAAGAGTAGAGAAACAAAACATGCTTATCATAATCTCTTTTCAAGCTGTGCATGGAGTTTTTGCAGTTTCAGTTCAGAAACAGCCTGACTTTAACTACAGGGAAGAGACCTATCCCTCACTTCCACCTTTCAATTTTCAGACAAGGTGGGCTTAGAAATAGAGATTTAGCTTTTCACCTTCTTCAAATTAAAAAAAAATTAATTCACCCCATCAGAAAAAGAAACCTTGCCCCACTAATATATTACATATATTTATTATTGTGCTCATATTATACACACTATAAGCAGACACAGAAATAGAAATTATAAATGAAAAGATTAAGATGGAATAAGCAACATTTTAAGCAGAACTGTTTTTCTTACACTGAAAATAATAATGTTTTGTGAGGTAAAACCGGGGCAGTGTAATCACCTCATAACAGCAAAAAAGAAAACTTGTACTTAGAATAGTGTCTACTCTGCCACTTTCTTGCTGTTCATTTGTGTTAGGATAATCTTCAATCTACAGTTTCTTTCCTAGAATATTTTATAGTCATTTAGCCACATTGTAAAGGTCAGTTTAGTTAAATTTAGAAAATGTGATCTGTAACTCTTCTTAACCAGCACAAGTAACATGCTAAATATTGCAATATGCTAAAAATAGACTGAGAATCTAGTCTGTGACCACTGAATCCTCCATTTTTAGACCTTCCCTTAGGATATACAATTGTTCCACATACAGAGTCAAGGTGCCACAGTCAATCTGTTAATGTGAATAAATCTTAATTTTTTTCTTATTAGATTATTATTAGACTTTTTAAAAAGGAAATGTTCTAATATTTCCTCCTATTTCCCCTTGGATCATCTTGTACACACTGTAGTATATACTGACCTCATTTTGGAGAATACTACTTTAGAGGTCAGTCTAGTAAACAGCTCTTTGATTATATCAAATCCTTGGAATAAAAGTACACGTGTCGTTAAAAATGGATTTTGCTGCATGTTACAAAAAGCCTAAAATAGAGTCAGTTAAGGAAGATAGAAGCTTATTTCCTTTTCACATAAATGAAGTTTGAATATAAGTAACCAAGAGCTCCCTTGGCATCCTATGCTGTCAGGGTCCTTCTGTCTTGCTCCTCTACCATTGCTGCTGCACATGCTCCCTAGTCATGGTCCAAGATGGATCCTGGAGCCCCAGACATCACGTCTGTATTCCATTCTGCGATAAAGAGACACTGGTCATGAATTTTGTACAACACTTCGATAACATTCCACTGGTGAGAAATTACTGGAAAGTCCACACCTAACCGTGAAGAATAGTCAGAGTCCTATTAGGAAAGAGGACAGCAAAGGATCTCAGCCACAATGCATAAAGATGTATAAATATATATATACAAAGGAACAAAGCAGCATTAACCTCTTAATCTACCACTATGGTCCATCTTAAAAAAAAAAAAAAAAAAAACTTGGTCTGCAATGACGATCTAGCCAAAATGGTCCATAGACTAGCATGCTTCTCAAACTCATAATATAACAATATATTTAGAAATGATCAAATTCCACAAAATACATTCATAGTTCTGATTACAAGGTACTTTAAGAACTATGGAATTTTATGGTAACAGACAACTTTTTTCCCCCATAAACAACCTTATCTGCCTTCTAAGGAAAGTACAGAGCTTTGCTTTGATGAGCGCCTTTCTGAGTTTGTGTACACAATGTTACAGGTGGCAGTCAGATCAGAACTGAATTGATCCGTATAATAGAAGGCAAAAGGTATGAGTTGAAGGAGGGCAGGGAGCAGAATACAGAAAGGAAGAAGAGGGGGCATGAAAGCAGATTATTAATAGGAAAATGAAAGATTACATGGCAGAACTACTGAGATTTTTATTTAAAATCGATTTTTAAACTGTTTTCTGCAGGGCGTAAGATATAAATACACCCCTTCCTCTTCTTTCCTTCAATAAAACCTATTGTGTTCATTCATGCATTTCTTGCCACTGCTTCTTGGTGAGAAACTTGAATTCTGAATTCTGAATTCCACCTTCAGTTGACTTTGGGCTTTAATAGAACAGATTCACGGCCCCAGGAATTAAAGGACAAGGAAGTGCAAGCATCAGAATGACAATAATAATGGGCAAAAAAAAAAAGATCAGGGCATTCTCGGCAATGCTGAATTTATATATGATTAGATAAAACTGATAAGAGATTTTCTTACCCTCCATATTTCCTCTACTAGAATTGAAATTTGAATATAGATCCATTTATATGCCTTGATACATTTTTAAATGCCTTTCAAATTTACATGGAATATTTTGCTTGAGGTTAGAGAGATTCACCACACTGTAAAATCTTCGGAGTTCATTTGAGTAAATATACTGTAGTTTAAGGCATTGGATAAGGAACTTCCTATAAATAGGATCTGACTGAACAAAGCAGAAGCAGGAGAAAATGGGTAGAGAAAATGATGCTGATTCAGAGTGAAGGAGAGCAGCAGCAGGCTTACTGCAGGGACTGAGCCAGGGAGCTCTACACCACTAAACCAAAGGTTGGAAGAACCCACTAATCTGTATACAATCAGGCTGGATCTTGGTCAGGAGAGAAGGCACTTCCAAGAGAGCTCAAATAAAAGGTCAGCACAGACAGGCTCAGGCACAGTGGCCATGTAGACACTACTGACTGACTAACACAACTTCTATCCAGAGCACACTTATCCCATCCACAGAATGGGCTAATGGTGACCACATGACCAGTGACAAGTTACTCACATATAAGCAGAAGTTGCAGGTGGGACTTTTGGGAAAGCTTTCTCAAAGGGAGAGAAGCAGGTGACATCCCTTTGCCTTTCCCCTTCTCCCTAGAAAGAAAAAGCTACAGCAGTCATTTTACAATCACAAGACTGAAAAGTACACTTTAAAGATGGCAAATGGAGAACACAAAAGGAGCCTGGGCCACTGAGGATAACTTTGAGCAGCCGCACTAGCCCTGGACTATGAACTTCCAGACATGCTAAGTGAAAAAAAGAAAGAAAGAAAGAAAAAGAAAGAAAGAAAGAGAAAGAAAGAAAGAAAGAAAGAAAGAAAGAAAGAAAGAAAGAAAGAAAAGAAAAGAAAGAGAAGAAAGAAAGAGAAAGAAAGAAAGAAAGAAAGAAAGAAAGAAAGAAAGAAAAGAAAGATAAAGAAAGAAAAGAAAGAAAGAAAGAGAAAGAAAGAAAGAAAGAAAGAAAGAAAGAAAGAAAGAAAGAAAGAAAGAAAGAAAGAAACCCTCACCTGTTTAAACTACTGCTGCTTTGGTTTTCCGTTACTAAGAGCTGAATGAATCAATAACTGATTAGGATAGAATTTGGTTCCCGAAAGCAGGATACTGCAAGTAACAGAACCTAAAACATGAAGTTGCCTGAAAGGAGAAGCTACAACCAACTGTTGGAGACTCAGACATTCCATGCTGCAATATGGAAGCCTTTGCTATGTGGCAGCAGAACACTTGATCAAAGTGTGGCTTGACCATTCCAGATCACAGACTGGGAGTTCAATATAGGATGTAGTTTTTAAATTCTTGAGACCTTTCAGAATGTGGGAATATGATGGTTAATTATTGTAATTTTCAACCAAGTTCAACAACCAAAAAAGGATAAATTCAGACTAGAGTGAGCCAGTCTGCTTGCAGACACAGAAAGTAATACAGCATTACTGAGATACACTCCACTTTCAGCAAGCAATCTAGATTGACTGCGAGTTCCCAATGCTTGCAGGGTGAAAAAGCCAATTGCTTCTGTATGCCATATTGAAACTCTTACAAGTTGTGAAGTGGCAGCCTTGACAGAAAATGAGGTTGGTGACCCTGGACTTACTTAAGCACTTTCCATTAAAAGTTGTCTGGCAGAAGAAGAACTTGGCCTACAGTAAGGATGGTCGCACCACCCAAGAGGATATTTCAAATTCCTGCAAAGCAGCAGCCTTTAAGCTAATGAAAATGTTCAAAACAAAAGCCAAACACCAACAATTCTCAGGCTTCAAACTTAGGCAAATTTGTTGTAGCTCCTTGCACTTAAATCTATTGGACACAACTAGACTATAAACCTGCTAAGTTTCTGAGGGAACCAAAGTGCAAAAAACAAAAACAAAAACAAAACCCAAATCCAAACCCAAACCCAAACCCAAACCCAAACCCAAGCCTGACTGGCAATGGGCGGTAACTAATCCTAAGACAATCAATCATTAGAGCCACAGTGAGAGCCGCATGCTATAAACAGAGAAACACTCAGAGAACCGAAAAAAAAAAAAGAGATATTTAAATTAAAAATCTAGGCCGGCGCGGTGGCTCATGCCTGTAATCCCAGGACTTTAGGAGGCCAAGGCGGGCGGATCACGAGGTCAGGAGATTGAGACCACGGTGAAACCCTGTCTCTACTAAAAAAAAAAAAAAAAAATACAAAAAATTAGCCGGGTGTGGTGGCGGGTACCTGTAGTCCCAGCTACTCGGGAGGCTGGGGCAGGAGAATGGCGTGAACCCAGGAGGCGGAGCTTGCAGTGAGCCGAGGTCGCACCACTGCACTCCGGCCTGGGCGACAGAGCGCGATTCCGTCTCAAAAAATAAAAAAATAAAAATTAAAAATCTAACAACATATTTTTAATTCATTAGAAGATCACAATTGGAAGATAAATTTGAGGAAATCAACCAAAAGAGATTAAAAATAAAAAAGAAGGAAAATAAACATGAAAAACGACATGGAGAAATAAACAAACTGGGAAAAAGATAAAATGAGAAAGCCCAGAGAATCCAACAGCCAAATAATAGGAAAATCAAAGAGAAAGCACTGAGGCGGGAGAAGAGTAGGAAAGAAATTATTTTAAAAAGTTGTATGTGTCCAAATTAACTGACCCATCAAGTTCTCAACACTAGATTTTATAAGTGAATCTCCAACAAGACATATTATTGCAAAATTTCAAAATAGTGGAAACAAAGAGATCCCATAAGTGTCCAGAGGAAAAAAAAAGCAGATCATAGTCAAATGATTAGGAGAAAGAATAGCTTCAGATTAGAAACTGGAAGCAATTCTTCAAAATTCTTGTGAAGTTATTTCTGGCCCAGAATTCTCTATCCCGCCAATGATCCAGCCAAGTGGGAAGGTGGAAATAAAGACATTATCAGACCAGTAAAATCTAAAATTTTAACCTCATGCCCCCTCACTCTGGAAAATACAAAGGATGCACTGCATCAGAAATGAGGGAGTAAACAAATAATGAGAGATTTGAGGTATAGGAAATAAGAAATGCAACACAAAAGAAAAATGAAAGAAATCATATGGATGAGACTATAAGGAGATGCTGAGACACCATCTGTGCTACCAGTCCATATTGGTGTAGGTTATAACGTTCCAGGAAAGACTTTTTCAGGAAGATTAATTTGATAGAATATCTAATATAAATGAGAATAAAAACTTGGAAATATAATTTGGGGTTGTTATTAATTAATAACTATTAAAGCAAATTAAATATGGTCTGAGAAGGACTTAGTAGTTCTATATTTGAGTCCTCGTGGATGAACTGTAACCTAGCTTAATAGACAAAATTGAAAACCTAACTTAATAGTATGCACCAGTAACAATAGCTGAGTGTTGGCCAAACCCAGTGGCCATACTTCAACCACTCAGACTTCTGAATGTTCAAACTCTGTTCAAATAAGGCAAACGCTGAGCTGTAACCAATCTTGCTGTTTCTGTACCTCACTTCTGATTTCTGTACATCACTTTGCCTTTTTGTCTACAAATTTCTTCTGACCACGAGGCACCCCAGGAGTCTCTGAGAATCGGCCGTGATTCTGGGGGCTGCCTGATTCGCAAATCGTTCATAGCTCATAATATTACAAACCAAGCAAATAAACAAGCGAAAAAGGCTATTTAAAAAAAAAGATGTTTAATCCAAGGGAAACAAAATAGTTGTGCAAAAATGGAAAGAAATCATAGTTTAACATGGTTCTTCTCCAAAAATGTGTATCTGTAAGAAACAATTGAATCTTAATTTAACCAAAATAAAGCTGTAGCTATATTATGAGAATGGAAAAATGAGAATTCACCTGCTGGAGGGGAGAGAATAATGAGAAAAAGAGCTGAATCTTCATATTCCATAGTGGAAAATCAATTGAATCACATGTTTTAGAAATGTAGAGATAAGTACAAGAAAAATCAACTCAAAGTATTAAAAGTGGTTGCCTCTAGGGAAAAGGAAATGGAGGTCAGGAGGAATGGGCACTACTGTCTTCATTAACAAACTTTACAGCTAGTGACTCCCTAAATTATGTGTAGTGTAACTTGAGTTAAAAATAAACAGATATTCAATAATACAAACATTCTAATGAAAAAATAGGCAAAACGCATTGAGACATTTCAACACATAAATGATAATAAACACATTAAATGTTCTCAGTCACAATAGCAACTAAAGAAATGCTACAAGATATTTTTCAACTACTATTATTATTATTAGGAAAGACTAATACTAACAACGATAACCTGTTTGGGTAAGGTATATAGAAACACTATTACGCTACTGACGTAAGTAGAAATTGATACAACTCTCAGTAATGTTCTTTAGAGTAATTTCAAAGGTCTTAAAATGTTTACATCCTTTGACCTTGTAATTCCAGGCACTAGAATTTATTCTAAAGAAGTAATTAGAAATGTGCCAAAGATTTATATACAAGGATGTTTTTCATCAGTTTGTTCACGACAGCGAAAAACTAAAAACAACTGTTATATCCAACAATAGCAGAATGCACATATACAATATAAAATGCAATATTTTGCTTTTGTTAAAAGTGATGATGTAGATCATGTTGCAGATCACATAGGCCTGGAGAAATGATAACATGTATTTGAGGTGAAAAAAATTAGATTACAGAATAATACACCTAACAAGTTCTTATTTTTGTTAAAAAAATAACTGTGCCTTATTGCATAAGAAAAATCAAAAGATATACAACAAAATTCTTTGTCTCTCTATATACAGTATTTAGATTTTTTCTAATTGATACATGTATTAATAAAACACCAAGAGTAGTCAATGTAGAGTATGCCCTGCCTATAAATGTTGACAATGATTAGTTATAATAATTATCTGTAATTTCTAATTTTTCTACAACTACTTTTTACTTAGGCATTTAAAACTCTAAATGGAAATTAAAAGAATACATGAAGGGTCTCAGTAAGGGCCTAATTCCCACTTCAAAACTTTTGTGATACTCAGGCACAACACAGAGAGTCCTTATATGCATGAAAACCATGAAAGTCCTCAGAATAAAGGATGAATTTCACTTTGAGAACTATGAGTCTTTTGAGAATGAAGATAAAGACTGCCCCCAGTGATTGCACTGGAAAAAAATAGATGAAGAAAGAAAAGTTGAAGAGATAAGAAAATAGGTACCTCTAGTAGTCAGACCCCTAGTAGGAAACAAAATGGCACTGTCTGATGGAGTAATTAAGGGTAATTTATTAAAGGAACCATTTACAAAAGTGTGAGCAGGCTCAGGGGAACTAACAAGGGAAGGTGCAGTATTCACAGCCAGAAAGAGCAGAGTGCTTCTACTGTATTTCAGCCAGAAGGGACAATAAGAGGGACCAATTACTTCTCCCCTGGGAAAATGGCTGTCTAGAGAGAGTCCATGTGACAAGCTGTGGCTTTGGGTAGAGGGATGTAACCAACCCACAGCAACTTAGCAGCAATACAGCCAGTACACTACATATTTCTGCTTCACTGTCCTTTTATTCTTGATCTTCTGATGGACTCTCCCATTGCCCAAACTTAATTAGCAGCCAGGGGACAAGGAAACTCATATAGCTCAGAGTCCCAGTGCAAAGAATAGCATTAAAAAGGATGTAGAGTGCTTCAGGAGGAGCAAATGTAAAGTAGTCAACCAAGTATCACATACTGGGGCATGGGTTGCATTAGAGAAGAATGTTATTTGTCCATCCCTCACCAGTGCTTTTACTTGCCACTCTAATCCTGTAGCAAAGATTATCAGATACTATATAAAAGAAATATTCTGCCACATGCCTAGGGTTTCTTACATGTCTGACCTTACTGACATCCTAATAGTCACCCCATTTGTTTTCCCATCTTGGTGGTTAAAGACCATTGATATCATTTCAATGTCTTCAGCTTGATGTAAGACCCAGTTTCTCCTGGTCTTCTCCAGTTCTTGCCTAGCTACACCGCCATCTCATCTTTTCATGGATGATATTGCTCCTGGCTCAGTGGAAACCTTTTACAGGTAAATGGCAAAGTGGCCACTCCTACCCTTGTGCATGGAACGAGAACACGCTCTACTCTGTTGAATCAGCCAGTAAATGTAACTGCCTCAACAAACACCCAAATCTTAGTGAGTTTAAACAACAAAGTTTATTTCTTGTTCACACTATTATAGGCAAGCCAGGGACCCCAACTCAATATTACCACTTAGGAACCCAGCTAACAGAAGACTCTTTCTCAACACATACTCTCCATAATCTCAGAGGCATGGGGAAAACATGGTGAAATATGAAATGGCTCTTAAAGCTTCTTCCTGGAAGCGGCATACATCAATCATCTCAGCTCACATTTTATTGTCCAAAAGAAATCTCATGGCCAAGGCTGAGTTCAAATAGGCGGGGAAAAACAATTTTACCAATAAAGCTGGAGTGAGAGAAATTTCATTTTTGAGCATCCCTAATGACTAACATGTATGTTCCAAGATATTTGTTCCACATTCTTCTTGGGAGACCATAACACTGGAAAAATAAATAAAACTATACTATGAGATCAAAAAATTGTCCTTAAAGTAGCAAAGGTTATCATAACTTATTATAGATGCCATCAAACTTTTGAAACTACTGTACCAAGCTGAGAGATTTGTTAGAGGCTGTATAGGGCCAAAAGGCCCTCACAAAATAGTTTCTGCTTTAAGATTTCTCTTGAATTGAATAAATATTAACATCATCAGTCACCCTACAAAGCAGCAAATCATGGGCAGAAAATGTGACCTTAGAGGTTAGG
The DNA here is from genome assembly GCF_000001405.40 of Homo sapiens. Lineage (NCBI taxonomy): Eukaryota > Metazoa > Chordata > Mammalia > Primates > Hominidae > Homo > Homo sapiens. The sequence goes on along the minus strand of NC_000007.14, from coordinate 88,413,996 downwards.
CCTTACAATAGAAACAGAAGGTGTCACATTACTCTTTCTGACTTGATAGGGTGTGGAAAAATATGGACATGTAATGATGGGACTCTCTTACTTTCTCTGGGTCTCAGCAGAAATGTCATTTGGAAAGAGACACCTAACCTGCACACTTTATACAGAATAGCATCACCCACCCATCTCTTGATCCTGCTTACTGTTTTATCTTCATAGCACTTATCACCATCTGAAATGTCTTATATTTATTTATGTCTGCCTACCTACTAGAATTTAAACTTTAAAAGTAAGATTTTTGATATATCCCCATTGTCTAGAAGAGTGCCTAGCACGTAGTAGGAACTTTGTAAACATTTGTGAACAAATGAATGTCTGCATGAGAGCTCTCCCAGGTGTTTGAAGGAAAGGCCAGACTCCTCCTCTGAGAGAGATTCAGCAAGGCCCTGGTGGGACTCGGAAAGCAGGCCTTTACCCCAGGAGGAAGCACGTGTGATGGGCCTGGAGCTCATGGACTCTGAGTGCATCCATACTGCAAGTCCTATTGCTATAAGAATTTCTGTAATGTACGTCCTTTTTGATAACTCCACACCTTCACCATGGATGGCCTTGCTGAATGTTTTCTCCTGGTCTCTAGTATTACACTTCATTCATTTAATGGAGAATAAAGACAGCATTATATATAATATAATATAATATTATGTATTATATTACATATAAAATATAAAATTTTATATATATATATAAAATTTTCTTCTTCTCCTACTCCATAGGAAGTGGGTCTGAACTGGAGTTAGGTCTATGGGCACTGGCTGTCTTAGCACAATGCCCATTCTCCTATAACCTTCCTAAAACTTGCTCATCCTTCCAGTCTCAGATGAGTCATCAACTCAAGAAGCATTGCTTGACCTCTAAACTAGGCCAAGTACCAGTACTAATGCCCTCTTAGTATCCTTTAAATTTTCTCCATCACACATGTTATGTTCTGAGCTTCAAGAATTCAGGAACCTGCCTATCTAGCCTCTGCTGCATGTCCACTGCCTAACATGGTATCTGGCATGTGCTGTCAACATATGTTAAATGAAAAGTTAATGTTGTGAATGAATGAATGAAGTGGAATTACAGCAATTGAAAAGAATCCATAATCACATCAGGTATTGTCTACATACTGAACAAATAGTTCCTTTACATGTGTGTACTACCGCTTCTCAAATGTGTGGAGATGCTTCTGACATTCATGAAATACAAATTTATTTAAAAGTTATTGAAATTGTGTATTTACTGAGTTAGTGAATGCTAAAAATATTACTATTATCATGTAGAAATTCCAGTAATGCTTTGATTTTTTTAGAAAGATTCTTATACTTGAAGAAGTTGGAAAATTAGTGAGCTAGAAAAAGGTGATGAAATTAAATTCACATACAAAAAAAGTATGATATGGGCTGTAAATATACTGGCTTCACTGTGGTAGGCATGTGGAGTATACAGAAAATTAATTCAGTCATGATTTTGATGGACTCAATATAAATAAAAAAGCAGATTCATGTTAATTCCTCCCACTAACTATAGATTTTCACTTCCTTTCGATGAGTCTCTCAGATGCATCACAATTATATATTGACTCCCAATAAAGGTGACAATCTCCTCACCGACAGCATAGAAATAGAAACACACAGCAGCAGACTCTTAGGTGATCTCACATGGGTTATAACCAAACAGAAACTCCTAAAACATTTACTCTATAAAGCAAGAGGATCCAGCCACGTGATCTTTAACATTTTTCCTTACGTTTTTAAATTTCATAACTTTCTAAGAAACCTAGTTGGGAGGTTAATTTCAACTTTGCTCAGAGGAGTATATTAATTAAATCAACTAGAATATAGTCAATCTAAAATTACTGTAAAGCCTATGAAAACAACCATGTAGATTTTATTCATGACCACTTGTTCTTGCTTTCATAATAAGAGAGCATAGTCATTTTTTCAGAGAGGTGAGGGTATTTCTGCTTCATCAACTTCCTAACAAATTTTATAACTTCAATGGGCTGTTGGAGTGAAGCAATTATGAGCACAAGTTTGGAATCATGCAGTCCAAGACTGAACCCTACTTCTCTGTCACTTATAAGTAATCGGTTATTGGACAAATCACTCAAGCACTCTAGGACTATTTTCTTCACTATAAAAAGTAAGTAACAATTTATACTTGACAGGATATAGCACGGTGCCTGGCACTTGGAAAACACTGAATAAATGACACCTTCTTACACACTTACCAGATATATTTTGACCTCATCTTGAGCAGGCATAATTAGAACACGTTACCTGGTCAAGCCCTCCATTTTTGAGCTACACAACAGGTCTGCCACTTTGGGGCCTTGAAATGAGTAACGATTGTTTTAACTTTCTCATCAATTATAAATAAATGATTAGTGCTGGGCCCAAATCTTGTTAATGACAGGACCCTTGTCTGGACACTTGGATATAAGGCATACTTTGTGCTTGGCAGCAGGCATCCCCTAACGTGTACATCTGGTGGATAGAATGAAGACTCCTTTCTTGATAGTCTTCTCCAGTAGTCTGATTTTTTATCATTAAGAAAGGGAGGAAAAATCCTTCAGAAGTTTTTATATAGAAGCCTAATATTGTAATGTGTGAGCTTATCCAGGAGGCAATTACTATGTTCATATTTTGTTAATTTTAGGAGGATATATTTAAAGTCACATATACAAAGGTATGACACAGATTGCAAGTGCACATCATCTCTACTGAATACAAATTTGGAGTTTAGAGCAAATTAATTCAGTCATAATTTTCATAATTTACTCAATGTAAATGGAGATACAGACACATGTAGAAATAATTTAAATGCTTGTAGTTTCATATCTTAACAAAGTGGAGGTTTATTTACTCGTCTCTGGCTCTCTCTCTCTCACACACACACACACACACACACACACGCACACACACAAACACATTTCAAGGATTTTCTGTAATAGCCCATAAGTCTATATGTACCAGGGGGTTGAAAGTTAAAATACTCTAAGAGACAATTGTACATCCCAGGGATGTTTCTGCAGTTGCTCTATTGAGATCCAAAAATTTGAAGCCACCACTGGAGGCCCAAAATTACATAAAGGAATGAACTAAGTAAAATCCTTTTTACAGAAGGCTCTGGCTGGACTACACTCATGGGAGCATCAATCTGAATTCTAACCCTGAGGCTAGAAATGGAAAATAATAGAGCAATTTTTCCCTAGAGGAGAAAGCTTTTGATCCCACCACCTGTAAAATACTATTGCCTCCGTTCTTTGCAGATTCTGATTTATCCAAGCTCCAAAAGGCCTGACTCTCACCAGAAATGAGGTAGCCAGGTTTATCAAATACATGATGTTCCTCTTTCCTGTGCTACCTGCACTCCAATGGGCTTCCTTTAATGGGTTGAAGTACTTAGGTGAGTTAAGAATAGATCCCAAGTTTATTTTGAGCCCAGAAGTTCTTAATTTGCTCTCTTTCTACACATTATAATCTCTACCACTGCATTCTCTTGGAGTTTGCTAACAGTTCACACTCATTTAATCAATTTCTAACTGTTATCCCACTGGGATTTTTTTTTTTTTTTTTTTTTTTTTTTTTTTTTTTTGAGACGAAGTCTCGCTCTGTCGCCCAGGCTGGAGTGCAGTGGCGGGATCTTGGCTCACTGCAAGCTCCGCCTCCCGGGTTCACGCCATTCTCCTGCCTCAGCCTCCCAAGTAGCTGGGACTACAGGCGCCCGCCACTACGCCCGGCTAATTTTTTGTATTTTTAGTAGAGACGGGGTTTCACCGTTTTAGCCGGGATGGTCTCGATCTCCTGACCTCGTGATCCGCCCGCCTCGGCCTCCCAAAGTGCTGGGATTACAGGCGTGAGCCACCGCGCCCGGCCCCCACTGGGATTTTGAGCAAGAAAATACGGGGTGTGTGTTGAGGGGGGTATTAATTAAACATACTCTAAAGGAATATTTTAGAGTTGCAAGTGCAAAATTTTCATTCTGAAAGGATTCCTATTTTTGGAGAAATTCTGTACAGAGAATATAGATTGCTAAAGGCAGTTAGTAAATAATGAAGGAGAAGGTGAAGAAAATTAGAGAATTCAAAGGTCAGGAAGTTAGCAAGTTGAACCTGCTATATCTTGCCATAAAGAGAAGCTGGTCATTTTACCAGAATAAGACTGTGTCAATGTCAGCTGAGCAAATGGGATTTGTAACAGAAACTATTGGGAAGAAAAGGTAACACTTCTGGACTAAAAGAGCATTTCAGAAAGAAATAAAACATTTTTCCAGTTATCTAATTTGTTTAATGGATGTGGTTTCTCATCAAATCCATCTCACTGGTTATTATATAGTCATATATTTATTTAAAAATTAAAATGTTAAATATAAAATATCCCTAAACATACTAGCTAGACAAAAAGTGAGAAACTCTTTTTAGTATTGATTTCAGTGACTGATCACATATTGGAAAGTTGTTTCATTTTAAGCATTAATGAAAGCATACCATGTTTTACAAGGCTCCTACTCCATTATTGTCTGTTCTAAATGCAATATTTGTGACCCATGTGATGTACTAGTTGGCCGTATTGTCGACTGATAGGTACATAATGTGCCATATAAATATACATATGACATTCAATTACAGTGAGTTATTTCTTATACACTATCTGCAATTTATGTTACCTAATTGCTCTATTTAAAAACATAGCTTGCCGGATGCAGTGGCTCATGCTTGTAATCCTAGCACTTTCGGAAGCCAAGGTGAGTGGATTACCTGAGGTCAGGAGTTCAAGAACAGCCTGGCCAACATGGTGAAACCCCGTCTCTACTAAAACTACAAAAAATTAGCCAGGCGTGGTGGCGGGCACCTGTAATCCCAGCTCCTTGGGTTGCTGAGGCAGGAGAATTGCTTGACCCCCGGAGGCGGAGGTTGCAGTGAGCCGAGATCACACCACTGCACTCCAGCCTGAGTGATAGAGCGAGACTCCATCAAAAAAAAAAAAAGAAAGAAAAAGAAAAAAAATAGCTGTATTTCCATGTATGTGTGGTTCTTATCACAAAATTTCAAAATAAGTTGCTGGGTACCTACTAGGCATAACACTAGTGGAAATACACCTAATGTCTACTTCTCTATTAAAAGGGAAAATGTATATATACAAAATTGGTATAATAAATCTATGGATCTGAAACTCCACAATGTCTGGTCAGTTTAAATTGAACAAGGAACTGATTAAGCATGAAACAACTGGGCCCTATACTCACACTATTATGTGTACACATAGAACCAACACTTTCCAGAAAGGTCACTGACCAGAGGCTGCTACATGGACTCACTATCAGAACAAAAATTCACAGAACCAACAGAATATAATTCATCAATTTTCTACTTATATATTGTGAATTCAATGGTGACCTTACTATTAAATACATGGATATAGTTGAAGGTAATTAAAGAATTGCAGTTACTACTGCTTTCCACCATTAGGTTGTCAATATAACTAACATCATTTAAACATAGACTTGTACTTACTGACAAACTTTAGTGATAAATCATGAAGTAAGTAGTCAGACTTTACATACTTCATGGCAATGAACATCAGAATAGCTTTGATCGGCTACTTTTTGAAACCTCCAATCTTCAGCTTCCTTGAAAAACTAGGAAAAACTCTTATGTAAGTAGAGTATGAATATGGTGAGGGAACAGACTCATCTAATTGTCATTTATTCTCCCAGGCAACTAGTTCATTCAGATAAAAAATAACCTACTGTCATGGTAGCATACCTCTATGACAGAAGTTCGGGAATCTAAAATGTAATATTAGCCTCTTTATTCTTGCTTTCTCCTCTTATCTAGTCTAGTCTTACACATAATGTAGGCGCCCCTAACCTCTCCACATTGCCCTAACCTCCACCACTGCCCACCCTCATACATGACTTTATTGTTTCCCATAATATGAATTACACTGATGGTTTATTTTATGTTTATGCAGAAGCATTTGTTCATTTGTAGTTCTCACCATTTGTTCATTCACTCAACATATATGTATTTCATGAGTTGCACCTTTTTTCATCAACGAGAACACACATGTAAACAAGAATAAAAAAGACAAGCTATAACAAGTGTTGGTGAAGATGTGGAGAAAGGGGAACCATTGTACACTGTTGGTAGGAATGTAAATTAGTACAGCCATTATGGAAAGAAGTATGGAGTTTCCTCAAAAAATAAAAATAGAACTACCATATGATCTAGCAATCCCACTTCTGGGTATATATCCAAAGCAAATGAAATCAGTATGTTGAAGAGATATCTGCACTCTTAACGTTTACTGCAGCTTTATTCACAATTGCCAACATATGGAAACAACCTAAGTGTCCATGGATAGATGAATGGATTTAAAAAAATGTGGCATATACACAATGGAATATTATTCAACCATGAAAAAGAAGGAAATTCTGTCACTTGTGACAACATGGATAAACTAGGAGGACATTATGCTAAGTGAAATAAGCCAGACACAGAAAGAAAAATGCATAATCTCACTTATATGAGGAATCCAAGAAAGTTGAACTCATAGAAGCAGAGGATAGAGTAGTGGTTGCCAGATGCTGAGGCATGGAGAAAATGGGGAAGTGTTGATCAAAGGATACAAACTTTCTGTTATAAAATTAATAAATTTTGGGAATCTGATAAACAGCATGGTAACTATACTTAATAATAATTCCATATTGTTTACTTGAAATTTACTAAAAGTAGATCTTAAATGTCCTCACTCACCACACACACACACATACACACATGTATGGTGATGGATATGTTGTTTAATTTTATTGCAGTAATTATTACATAATGTATGTCTATATCAAGAGTATGTATATCAAAACATGGTACACCTTGAATATATACCATTTTTGTCAATTATACCTCAATAAAGCTTGGAGGAAGGAACAAGAAACTTATGACTTGCTCTAATGCACTCAAAAATGCCACCATTCTGCCAGATATCATGGCAGCAGGGCTGAGAGAGGGAGGGGGGAACGGGAGAAGTGATTAATGGAGCATGAGCCTCAGCCCCCAATCTACAGTGCTGAGAAGAAATCAGAGAGTAGTTGTATGAAAGAATCATCACTGCTGTTGGCTGGCTCCATCCTTTTTATCCATTGAGTTTCCAGGACAGATCTCTAGTGTCCACGAGAAATGGCCCTTAGCAGCATCCTTACCCACAGCCATTTAGAATTATGGAGCACTGGACTTCCTATTAAAGGAAAACATAAAATAGGTATCTCCTGTTTTCTATTTTACCTTTAAACTGTGGCCCAAAAATGAACTGTGTCTTCAACTTCTTTGGTAACTTTCCAAGCAACTGTATTCCGTTCCCTACGCAGAAGGGAATATGATACATTTCTCTAATCACCTTTTTCTTGGACTTAGTTGAGAAAAGGCTTGAACTAATTACATTTATTTCAAGATCCTGGAGTTTCTACTTGAAACAAAAATGTCTACCGAGTGACTGGATTTTGGTAGTTTTTCTTGGTGGGTCACATTTTATGCCTTGTGATTGCTTGAATTGAGCTGACAGTTTTATATATAACAGGAGATACATCCTATGGACCTCTTTTGTTTTGGAATGGTGTATATTAACGTGCTATTAAAAGCATATTGGTACTGACAGAAATGAATAGCTTGAGAGTCACAATTTCTTCTCTTATAATAAACATTAAAAGTTGAGACATACGAAAAAACATTTGGAAATGTGTTATATATACCCATCTTTCCTGCAGGCAAAATGACTAAAAGTACCTTTAAAATGTCATGAGTGGGCCACAATTTACATTTCCAAAAATCATGGATGTTTTCAAGCCTATGATAAACTTTATTTGGACGCTTAAAAAACAGCCCTCTATTCAAACTTTATCAACAATCCAAACTTGAATTTACATGTAGAAAGTTTCCTAATTTAGGAGCATTTTTTAAACGTATTGTTACTGTCTTTAGTCATGTATAAGCTGGAGGGAGAGTGAAAGAAGAGGAATGGATATTTCTAATCACCTAATGTTTTGTGTTTTTATACCAATAACTTATAATATATGAGGAAATAGTATTTCCTGACATAAAATATTTGGACTTTCACACAACATAATTTAGCTAGATCATCCATGCCAAAAGTGGCACAAAGTATCTTTTACTTTTCTTTCTTAGGTTAGTTTTATCAAGGTATAATTTACATACAATAAAATGCAACTACATTATATGTACAAGTTCTATGAGTTTTGATAAACGTGTACAACCATGTAACCAACTAATCAACCCTGCAACCTAGATATAGAGCATTTCCATCCCACCAAAAGCTCATTCATACTCTCTTGCAATCAATCTCCCATTCCCCAGCCCCAGGCTACCACTAATCCACTCTTGTTATAGATTAGTTTTATCTATTCTACAATTTCATATAAATAGAGTCAGACAGCATGTACATTGTATGTCTGGTTACTTCTACTCAACATAATATTGTTAAGATTCATCCATGCTATTGTACGTAATGGTGGTTTATTCCTTTCCATTGGTGAGTGGCCTTCTATTATATGATACACCACAATTTGTTTATCCATTCATCTATCGATAGGCATTTGGGTTGTTACAAGATATTTCTTAGTGGCACATTGTTATTGCTATTAGCACAGCTGTGTGTGCACATACATGTGTGCATGTTGTACTGTAATGTGGTGTGTTTGGGGAGAGTTGGGGGGTGTGTAAAATGTGGTGTGTTTGGTTGTATATATGCTGGAGGGAGAGTGAAAGAAGACTTAATATGCACCAAGCTCTAACATGGTGGTGCCTGGATGATCACCCCTGACTCCCTTCTAAGATGGTCACTGGAGGGCATGACTAGTGAGTCAAAGACCACTAGAGCTTCTTCCCTGCCTCTAACTGGTCTTTCATGAAGACTATTTGAAAGGGAAAAAAGGATAGTTTTCCATAAAGGAATCTCGCCAAGGACCTGAAGATGCTAACAAGGTGGACTGCTGACTCTGGTGAAATTTTGTTTTTTTCTGAGACTCTTCAAAGTGAGAGTTCACAAATTTATTGGGCCTCTGTACTAGTTTCCTAGAGCTGCCATAACAAATTACCACAAACTGGGTGGCTTAAAACAATAGATAGTATTTGTTTTCTATATTAGATAGTATTTATGCATTAGTTCTATAGGACAGAAGTCTAAAATCAAGGTGTTGGCAGGGATGCACTCTCTAGAGGGAGTTCCATTCCTTGCCTCCTTTAACCTGTGGCAGCTGTCCTTAGCTGTGGCTGCAGCCCCCTCTGCTCCAAATTCACCTTATCTTCTCCTCTATGTGTCTCCTCCTCTATGTGTCTGTGTCATCTCCCTTTGCTCCTCTAAGGACATATATGGTGGCATTTAGGGCCCACCCACATAATGCAGAGTTGTCTCCTCATCTCAAGATTTTTAACTTAATGACATCTACAAAGACCCTTTTTCCAAACAAAATAATATCCAAAGTTCCAGGGATCAGGACTTGATAACTTTGGATGAGCATTATTCAACCTGCCACAGCCTCATCCATTCTCTTCTGTCTTGCCCAAGTCCTTGGTCTACCTGAGGCTCAATGTTCTCATATACAAAATATGACAGTATCATATAGTTCTTTATCCATCAACCAGTTAGATTTCAAGTTTACCTGTTTGTAGTCCAAAATGACAGAGAAAGGATTAATCTTGCAGGCATCAATGCATTTCTACAACATGAGAGTATGAGTTTATTCCTTTAAAGTTTTAAATTCAGCTATTTTCTTCTTTGCTGTCATATGTCTTTATTAATTTATTCAATAAATATTTATTCACCAGTCTTTCCCTGGAACACTTTGAGATACTAAACAAAGCCCCTGTCCTTATGGAGCTAATATTCTGAAGAAGAAGACAATCTCTAAGTAAATGTGCTATCAGGCAGTAGAGAAGGATAGGGAAGGAAGAAAAGCCAATAAAAGGGTTTATTACTGAACTAAGTGCTGTAGCACCAGGGGCTCGATTTGACCAGGACTCACAGGAATGATTTAAGAATTGTCTACTAGGCCGGGTGTGGTGGCTCATGTCTGTAATCCCAGCACTTTGGGAAGCCGAGGTGGGCGGATCACGACATCGGGAGTTCAAGACCAGCCTGGCCAACATGGTGAAACCCTGTCTCTACTAAAAATACAAAAATTAGCTGGGTGTGGTGGCAGGAGCCTGTAATCCCAGCTGTTCGGGAGGCTGAGGCAGCAGAATTGCTTGAACCCAGGAGGCAGAGGTTGCAGTGAGCCAAGATCACGCCACTGCACTCCAGCCTGGGTGACAAAACAAGACTCCATCTAGGAAAAAAAAAAAAATAATAATAATAATAATAATAATAATAATAATTGTCTACTGAAAGGACAAGAAGATTTATCCATAGGCTCCTCCCAACATCGGTTGAGGGTTGCCTTCAATACATTAACTTCCCAGTACCCAAGAGGGCTGCATTTGGATGTGGTCTGAGTGAGCTTCTATAACTCCAGAGAAGGCCCTGAAGCAGAATACAATGCACTCTTGAGGGGTGACACTGGTATGTGATAGATGTCTGTGCCTGCACAGAACTGTACACTATGGCTGCAGCTAACATCAAAAGCAGGCCAGGGGGACGTGATGGGGGCACCATCATGCTATAAACACCTTACCAACATTTGCCACATTCTCTCTGTCTTTGCACTTACTGTACATAACACAGTTAATAAAACAGTCATGCGCTGCATAAAGGACCTTTCAGTCAACAATGAACAGCATATATGGTGGTCTCACAAGATTATAATGGGGCTGAAAAATTCCTATCACCTAGTGACATTGTATCCATTATAACATTACAGCATTCTTGGTGACACTGGTGTAAAGAAGCCCATTGTGTTGCCAGTCATATAAAAGTATACTACATACAATTACATATAGTACATAATACTTGATAATAATAAACAACTGTGTTACTGGTTTATGTACTTACTATACTTATTATTAGAAAGTATACTCCTTTTACATATATACATACATATATATGTATGTATATGTGTATATATACATGTATATGCATGTATATACGTGCATATATACATATATACATGTGTATATACATACATGCATGCATGTAGATATACACGTGTATATCTACATGCACATGTATGTATACATATATGCATAGCTACATACACATGTATATACATGCATGTGGATATGCATACACATGTGTATCTGCATACATGTGTGTAGATATGCATGTGCATGTGTATCTACATATACATACGCATGTATATATACATACACATGTAGATATACATACACATGTATACCTACATACATGTATGTATATACGCATGTATATATGTATATACGTGCATATATACATATGTGTATATATGCACATATATACATGCATATATATATACATATATGTATATATACACATACGTGTGTGTGTATGTGTGTGTGTATATGTGTGTGTGTGTGTGTGTATATATATTTGAGACAAAATCTCGCTCTGTCACCCAGGCTGGAGTGCAGTGGTATGATCTCGGCTCACTACAACCTCTGTCTCCTGAGTTCAAGCAATTCTCCTACCTCAGCCTCCCAAGTAGCTGGGATTATAGGTGCCCACCACCACACCCAGCTAATTTGCATTTTTAGTAGAGATGGGGTTTCACCAAGTTAGCCAGGCTGGTCTCGAACTCCTGACCTCAGGTGATCTGCCACCCTTGGCCTCCCAAAGTGCTGAGATTACAGGCATGAGCCTCTGCGCCTAGCCTACTTATATTTTTAAAAAGTTAACTGTAGAACAGCCTCAGTCAGGTCCTTCAGGAGGTATTCCAGAAAAAGACGTTATTATCATAAGAGATGACAGCTCCATGCCTGTTGTTGTCCCTGAAGATCCTCCAGTGGGACAAGACATAGAGGTAGAAGACAGTGTTATCAATGATCCTGACCCTGGGTAGACGTAGGTTAATGTATATGTTTGTGTCTTAATTTTTAACAAAAGTAATTAAAGAAAATTTTAGGAAAAAGGCTTATAGCATAAATATATTTTAAAAGATAATATTTTTGTACAGCTGTACAATGTGTTTGTGTTTTAAGTTATATTATTACAAAACGGTCAAAAAGTTGAAAATTAAAAGTGTATAAACTAGAAAAGTTACAGTAAGTTAAGGTTAATTTATTATTAATTAAAGATAATATTTTTATAAATGTAGTGTAGCTTGAGTGTACAGCATTTATAAAATCTACAGTAGTGTACAGTAATGTCCTAGGCCTTCACTCACCACTCAGTCACTGACTCACTCAGAGAAACTTCAAGTACTGCAAGCTCCATTCATGGTAAGTGCTCCACACAGGCATACTAGCTTTTATTTTCTATACCATATTTTGACTGTACCTTTTCTATGTTTAGATGCACAAATACTTACCATTGTATTACAACTGCCTGCACTATTCAGTACAGTAACAAGTTTGTAGCCTAGGAGCAATAGACTATACCCTCTAGCCTAGGTGTGTGGTAAGCTGTACCATCTAGGTTTGTGTAAGTACCCTCCATGATGTTCGCAATTTGATGAAATGGACTAACGAGGTATTTCTCAGAATGTATAACCATTATTAAGTGAAGCATGACTGTACTTGTGAAATACTTAAAACTAACACAAATGTTATGTATACAATTGATTATGAGCAAACTACAGAGGCCCAGAGCGGCTACCAACCATATGCAACCACTATCGCCATCTGTTGGTAGCAAACAGAATTGATAGATTTTTATTCTGCAGAGGAACTGTATGGATTAGGAAACATTTGTAATCTGAATATACTGAAGCAAAGGAATGTCTGTAATTCTTACTTCACAGAGTTTCTGTGAGGGGTAAATGCTATAATTCACAGGAAAGCACTTTTCTATTATAAAACAATATATAAATGTTAGTTTACAGATTGATGGGAGAGATTTAATCCTCATCTCTGATGCCAGATTAAGTCTTAGTGCATTGTAGCCAGATACCTAGCAGGTAATCTAAAGTTTATGGAATGTTGTTTTTATTTTTTGACTTCTGCTGAAACAGCCTTTCCAGGTTTTCACCTGCTAAGATTCAAAGTCCAGTTCGGCTGTCACCCAAGAATAGAAATCATTTTTTTCCTCACATTCTCTTTGCATTGGCACTAAGAGACCACTTACCACATGAATTCTGGCTAATCATAAACAATTCTCTGGCCTCACTCAATAGTGAACCTCTTGAAAACAAGAACGATACCTGATTCCTCTTTGTATGCCTAGCACGTAGCATTATATTTGGTGTATAGTAGGCATTCGATAAATGTTTGTTGAAATTGTTGAATTAATTTGCTATCAAATAACAACAGCCTCTTTCCTACTTAGCTGTGTCTCACAGCAAGCACCCGGGCCCAGCAGGGTGAAAGAGATGAAGGGAATTCATCTAAAATCAATTTATTTGGGGAGAAAATGTACTGTAGTCAATGAAATGATTCAGTTTCATCTTTTTGTACATAGCTTTAGAGTTGTACATGATCATAATTTCATGTCAACTATCAAGTCCCTTAAGTCATGTGGTGATATATTACTTTTTCATATTAATATATAGTATAACACTGTACAAGCAATATTAACAATTCCGCACGAACTAAATCCTGGCATAGAAAGTGACAGTACTAGCAGTTCACTGGGTAATGGCTAGGTTTTGTGCAGTTTGGAAAAAAAAAAAAAACTCCTACAGATTTATAGATACTTACAAAATGCCTATGTTCATAAAATTATCAATTTTAAGAAAAAGAAAGACATCTCTTCCAAGAGAAAAACAGATGACTCATTTTGAAATCGGTAGGCTCCATTCCAATTAAACAGATTGCAAACCAGAAGACAGCTCAAGATTGTTGTGAGGACTTCATGAGGCCCTTTCCTTTCTTTTCCGAAACTAATGAGAAATACTCAGGATATGTGAAGCCATGAATCAGAAAAATATGCAAACCTGGCTGGGTGATAACTCCCCTGAACTGGATGAACTGGAGAAAGGCCTTATTGAAATGAAGCATCCAAATGGACTGGAACAATGCCTCAGTGTGGTTAGTTCAATAGAGCCACGCTATAGATCATGCTTTCTTACCAGGAGATGAAAACAACTGCCAAGTAGGATTCAGAAAACCAAAAAGAAAAAAAAAAAAAAAAAAGCTTTTTTCTCCCTTGAAGTTCAGCAGTGGTTCGCTCCGCACAGATATCTGGGGTTTGACACTAGCTAGTTTACAATACCATTTTAATACAAGCAATATGAATGCTTAAAGAGTTACCCCACCCAGGACAAACCAGCTGGTCTTCTAGTCACTGCTCTCCCACTTCTGTGCCTTTATCTGCCACTTGGAGTCTGAGGTCCTCTGCTAAGGAGAGGGCAATTGCAAAGCCCCTCTGCACTTTGCTCACCATACTCTATCTCCCAAACCCTTCTACAAAATGTGCTAGCCTTGTTCACACCCTCAGCCCCTCAAACCCACAGCTCTCTCCCTGCACATACTATTTTCAAGCTAGTGTCTGGGCTAATATGCCACTGCCTCCAAGGTAACATTTCTTCTGAATAGAGGTTTTTCTGGTGACCATCCTTAGAGGCATTCTAATGGTGAAGACTGCCAGCTCCATGGCAAGCCAATGAGGAAGATACTATCTGACCTCATTAGCACCTCACAGGTCACACCGTAAGCAGCTTATCACTCCCCCTCTCCCAGGGGAAGCCTTCTTTGTCGACCAAAAGAAAAAAAAAAAAAAGAACCATAAAGGTTCTCGGGTCTTGATGACCTTCCAAACGCACTTCGGGTAGCCGCTCGAACAGGAATCCCCGGCTCCTGGTCCCCACGAGTCTCTTTATCACTTTTATCCCACAGTCCTTGTAACCCATTCATAAGAAAACAGTGAAGCAGCTCCTGAAAACTTGGAAATAAGGTTGCAGTCAAGAGCTAGCCAGTAAAATTCACACAATAATTTTGTTTGGGTTTTTGTTTGTTTGCTTTCCACAAAGTAGCATCTGAAATTATTTGGGGACAAAGGATATATACTTCCCTGTTTTCCCAGAAGAATAAAGGAATTTATTTTCTTGTAAATGGAACTATGTGGAAAGTTACCCCACGTTGAAAAATAATAGAGTTGGAAGAGAGTATCTTTTTTTCTCTCCTTGCAATTCCTTTAGGAGCTGTACCTCACTCACAGCCATGATCTGTTCTCTACAGCCATCTATTTATCATTTATCTTCTTTCTCTCCAACTGCTTCTGCTTTCTTCATGTCATCCTTTAAAATTCCTGGAAAATGTTGGACAGGAAACAGACTTCTGGGATTAAGAAGAACAACCATGCTTTTTTATAGAATATTTGCTCAGGCCCAGGATCCCTTCCACAAAAGACTCTGGCTGTCCTTTGCTAGTGGTTAGAAAAATTCTGAGGAGAATATCCACAAACATGTAACTGAAGAGTCTTAAAGTACCCCAGACTCAAACACAGAGAAATAATTATCCTCCAAAGGAAAAGACTATGTAATTGAAGTCTACTAAACTGAAATTAACTGATTGCATTCTAACATCTCAGGAGAAAGACTATAAATAGAAGGCAGAGTCAACATAAACATGAAAGGAAAAAATGAAACCTGAGTAATTCCTGAGACCTTAAGGTGGTACTGTTTACCCAGCACTTTCCAGGTGAGGCTTACTCTGCATGTGACCCAAAGGAGCATATATAGTTACGTGGGTAGTGGAAATGAACTCATCAAGCCTCACTTTTGAATGGCCTGAAATACTCTCTTCCTCTCTGAATTCATGATCCCAAGCATTTTTTGATAAAGTTGAAATTGGTAGGTCCCTCAATACCAGAAAAATCAATGCTCTGGATAAGGGCACCAGCATTCCATCATTGGAAAAAGTTATCACCCCTTGGGTACTAATAAATTACTCATAAGGATTATACATCTTTTCACACGTTTGATTAGTTTCCATCTATTACTGTGATACTCTGTGTCCACCTAGTTCAAAGCCGAAGACCATACCTTGGTAACTTCCTCAACAAACAACAAGGGTTAACGTATAATGTGTCCTTTCCACATACCAGACATTTTCTAAGCAATTTATATGCATTAACATATTTTAGCCTCACAATAATCCTACATGGTAGAAGTAGAAATTATTTTTACCCCCATTTTACAGATGAGGAAAATGGGGAACTTGCTTATGATTATACAGATGGTAGGTGGCAGAGTCTGTGCCCTTAAGCCTTACACAATGCTGCCTTTTAAAGTGGCATGCGCCCTGGAGAGCACGAATTAATTTGCTAGGGCTGCTACGACAAAATGTCATAGATTGGGTGGCTTAAACAACAGACATGTATAGTTCCAGGGATTGGAAAATCCAAAATCAAGGTGCCAACCTATGAGCTTCCTGGTGAGGCCCTCTTGTTCACTTGCAAATGGCCACCTTCTCACTCTATCCTCACATGGCAGACAGAGAGCTCTCTTTCTTCCTCTTCTCATAAAGCCACTAATGCCATCATAAAGGCCCTACCCTCCAAGGCCTCATCTAACCCTAATTACCTCCCAAAGTTCCCATCTCCACATATCATCACACTGAGGGTCAGGGCTTCAATACATTAATTGGATGGGGGTGTGGTGATGGGGACACAATTGAGTCCACAGCAGGGAGAAATGTGAAAACTCCCATGTGATCATAATAGTCATTCAGCACAAACTGTTAAACAAGTGTCTATGCTCTAATCAGCATTGCACACATAATATGAGTTCATCTCCAGGTCTGATTATTCTTGTCATGCAAAAAGCCCATCTCTAGGCTTTTATAATGTTAGGAAAATCCTGTAATTAGTCACCTGAACAAAGTTATTACTGAGTGAAAGTCTGCCTGTACCAAACAGCTTCCCATAGGTGACAGTTGTGGTTTCTAGGGTGAAATCCATCAACCAAACTCTTCAACCCCCTTGTATATTAATAATTAAACACATTTTATTATCTATAAGTGCAAACAGGACATACAAAGTTCTGATGGCAACTTCCAATTTCTGTTCACTAAGGAATTGAGGAGGCCTCTCAGTCACAGTCATCACAAAAATATTGTATTCTCTGCTCAGTTCTATAGTCCTCTTCTTTCAAGTCTGGTGATCATGTGTACCCTATGTAAGTCCTATTTTGATATTTCTAGCATATTGCACAAAATGTTTCATTGTCACTCATGCACTGCTTACAGTAAAATCATTAAGCACTAGGTATTAACCACTGATTCTTACTTTGTTTTCCTCCATCATGTTCTGTGAGACACTGACTTCGTCCTCTACTTGCTAAAGGAAAAGTCTGAATGAGTCAGTGACCTTCCTTTCTCCAAGTAACCTCATACGTTGGGTCTTTGTTCTCTCTGCTATGATAAACATCAGTATTCTTCATATTTTGACAATATCATAGTATTTTTACTCTTTTTGCCAGAAATGTTACTTCCTGTTTAGCATCAAAACTGAAAATACCTTCTTCCACATGGTAAAGCCCCTGAATATTTGCAAGTGACATCATTAGCCAACCCTCTGCCTGTAACACCCACCACCATCCCACATCCTGCCATTAGGGGCAATATGGCTTAATAAATTTCATTACTATATGTGTTAATATAAGTTTTATAAATAAGTTTTCTGTATCTCAAAGAAAATGTGTTAGACTTATTAATAACTTCATTCCTAGTATTGTGAGGCTACTTAGGTATGTGTTCTCACAACAACACATTGTTTTCAGACTTAGTCGAGCAACTTACTTTTGTTTTTTATATGTTTTAATTCACCATTTTTTAAATTTTTCTAGACAGAGCTTTTGATTTCCACATTTCACTTTTCAGTGGTTATCTCTGTTAACTTTCTTCCTGCTTTGGAGTGTAATATTTTGCTACTTCCTCAGGATTCAGCCACAGCACAGATCTGACCTGTCCATCGCCCATGTCTTCCTTTCTGAATCAGCTGTTGTTTCTTAAACTCATCGATTGCATCAATACCCTATTTCTCAAATACATATCTGCAACGTAGCTATATGTCAAGTCTATTTTGTCACTGCCACAATTTGGTCATTTCGCAACTGATTTAGACCTAAACAGTGTCATTCATTTTGCAGAAGCATGAGGCTGTGGCAGTTTTTTGTAACAAAAACAACACTGCTTACTGGTTAAAAAAAAAAATAATAGATTATAAAATATTGTTTCCTTTTTCTTGACTCTAATAATGCTTTTTAAAAAAACTGAAAATCAACTATCATAAATTTAACTATGTATTTTCTTAATTAAATGCGTTCATCCTTTTTGGTTTAAGTAATTGATGAGCAACTTTATTCCAAATTTCTAGTTTTCACAATATCTGCTCCCATAATCATACATTACTATGCTCACTCTAATGATTGACTTTATTAATAAAATACAATATCACCCAGACCTTGGTTTCCAAATATCTTTCCCCACTAAAAGGAACCAGGGGTCCTTGGAGAAATGGTTAAATCCTAGGGCTGGGACATGGAAGGTATGAAATGAATCAGAAACATCTTCATGTTCCAGAATAAAAATAAGTGCTAAAAAGTATAAGAGAATAACAAGAAGATATAGAAGCCAACTTGAAGGGACTCTCACTGGTCAAATCTAGAATAATTTTATTATCAAAATAAATATGAAGAGTGATACATTATAACTCATTGAGTTGAATAAGAATCCCTGGATCTTTATTGATAATAAATAGCCAAATAAATGGGAAAGTAAGAAACTTTCTTATAGTAGAATGTCAATTAATAAAGAAAGGAAAGCTTTCGAGTTAGAAAAATCACTATTTTACAACCAACCTTGTAAAAATTGACTTAGGCAAGAATCATCAGTGGGTGCTAATTCTAGTGGTGAAAACTTTAAAAAGAACAAAAATTTTAAGGTATCTTCCCACAAATTACTTCTTAGCTCCAAAACAAAATTATGGGAATAACAGTACAGTGGGAAGACTGGCAACAACTTAACCAAGAGATCAAAATTAATGTCACCAATAAAATGTGCTTCTGGATAGGAGAAAAAATTACAGCTCATATGACGTATTCCACCAAAAATACATAACCTGAATGTAATCATAAAGAAATATCAGAGATACCCAAGTAGAAAGACATTCTGTAAAATAACTGTCCTGTGTTCTTCAAAAAAATTGTCAGTGATGTGAAAGACAAAGAAAGGCTGAGGAACTGTTCCAGTTTAAAGAAGACTAAAGACATATGGATCTAAACGCAGCCTACAATCCTGGACTGGATCCTGTGCTGGGGGGAAAAAACAACAACAACAACAACAACCACCTGTGGAGGAATATGTACAGTCAGTGTTCTCCAGAGAAGAACCAGTAGGCAATCCTTTATAATAAATCTGTTCCTGTATAGAAATAATGGAGGCTGGCAAGTCCCAAGATCTGCAGAGTACAAGTAGTCACCGAGCTGCAGAACTAGGAGAGCCAACAGTGTAGCTCTAGTCTGAAGGCCAGCAGACTCAAGATCCAGGAAGAGCCAATGTTTCAGTTCTAATCTAATGGCAGGAAAAAGTCAATATTCCATTTCAGAGACCATCAGACACGATGAATTATCTCTTACCTGGGAGGGAGGGTTAACAGCCTTTTTGATCTATTCAGGCCTTCAACTGACTGGATGGTGTCACCCACATTATGGAAGGCAATCTGCTGTACTAGGTCTCCTGATTTAAATGTTAATCTCATCCCAAAACACTCTAATAGAAATACTCAGAATGTCTGAACAAGTATCTGGGCACCCCCTGGCCCAGTCAAGCTGACACATAAATTAAACATCACAGACACTTATTGGGTCAGTTGACAAAATTAGAATTTGGTTTGCAGATTAAGGTATTGTATATTGATACAATACTTTTTGCCATAATAAGAAAGAATAAAGTCTACTAATTTAAAAACTATGTTCATTAATTTTCCTGAATTTGATCATTGTAATTTGGCTATGTAAAAGAACATTCTAATTCTTAGGAAATATACACTGAATAATCATTAGGTAAAGAGGCATATTGTATGCAGTCTACTTTCATACATTTCAGAAAAAAAAAATCAAGATACATAAAAAGAGAAAATGATAAAGCAAATGTGACAAAACCTTAAAAATGGATGAAAGTAGGTAGCAGTTATACTTAAGTTCTTACAACTTTTCTTTAAGACATATATAATTTTAAACAAAAAATTATGAGTGAGACCCAGCCTTGCTAGACCAGACTTGCTAAACCAGAAATCCTAGAAGTTATAATCTGATCCAGGTTGAGGTCTGGATTTAGGATTTTTCAAAGCTCTCCAGGTGATTCAAAAGTACAACAGGACCTAATCTCACAATATGTTACACTGAATTCAAACCCTACATCTCTCCCCTAAATTTTTAAAATAAAGTCCAATTTAATAATAATTATAACCAATAAGTACTCATTGACATACTAATAAATCAAATATTAGTAAAGCATTTCTGGGGTTTATTTTGCATATGAAATCCAGGGTCTATGCCTACTTAGCATCTATGTGTCTTCTCTCACATCACCTATGGGGTCCCCACATACAAGCAAAGCACTGAAGCCACATGGCTCTGAGTGGACTAACTTTCATTCCCCAAATCACCCTTGCTTAAGGCTTTGGGAATAACAAGAGCTCTTCTTTCTAAGCATGACAGTTAATCCTGAAACAACCAGCTGCAGATAACCTAGTGAGTAATGAACTTGAGCAGGTAAGTAGAGGACCACATGATTTACATTCATTAAAACTAATTAAAATCACAAGCAGGAACTAAAAGCTGGTGACTTTCATAATCAACAATTATTGGACTATACCACAAGCTACTTCTAACAACTCCTTAAAAACTTTTCTCTACTCTCTCTCTACTCCACACCCTAGACCAGAATTGTTAGCTCTCTCTACTCCACACCCTAGACCAGAATTTAGTGTTGGATTTCAAATTCTGCCTGGGAGGATATTTTATTATTCCGGAACAGGGACTCAGGATCATGACATTTATCTCCATTGTAAAATGTAAACAGTCTCAGCAGAGATTTGTGGCTTTATCTGATCCAGTGGAGATGCTGTGTTCTCCTATATCCCTTCATACTTTTCTCAAATATTTGTTGAACACGTGCTCTCTGATAGGTACAATATGGGTTATGTTTGTGATCTAAGAACCACAATATTTGGAAGGTACACAGATAAAAAAAAGCTCAACCTCCATGCTGAAGCTATCTGCCAGAAATCTTACACTACTTTTCAGTCAGTGCTCCAAAGTAAGGCTCTGATTTAATCTTTAGCCCAACTTCATAATCAATCCTCCAGTGAAGTTTTTTGACTAGAAAAAATTAACAGCAGCTTCAATTCCAAGGTTTTTAATGAATGCTGTAACATTTATAAACTCAAATGGTGCATCCCAGCAAAAAAACTGAGTGACACCATAGATCAATTTCTAATCCAGCATTCAGTGATTATAGTTCTACATCCTCTAAATATATAGGGGGTTATACAGGCGACACACTATAGGACTCATAAAAGAAAAGGTAGGAAGCAGTCAGTGAAGATGACCAAGCCCTTGGATTGTATCAAAAGTGGTGAACAGGCTACGTTATAATTTGCTACATGTTGGACTACACGTTGTTTCCTATTGGCGGTATGAACTGTCACACCTCTATACCTTGGCACGTTGTATACCTCAAGAATAGGAATCCCCTTTCCTCTTTCTCTGCCTGCAGAAAAATCTATCTCAACTAAGTCAAGCCTCCATCTTTAATGTTTACTTTAGTCTAGCAAACCACCTTATGCTTAGCATGTTTGTTTTTGTTTTGTTTTTAGAAGTCCATATCACCCATATATTCTTAACTCCTTTAAGACTGGACTGAGCCATATTCACTTTTATAGCCCCAAGTATTTAACAATGTGCTTGGTATAGTGTAGGACCCCAATAAATGTTTGCTAAATTTGAAATAAATACTATAATTCTGAACTACTATGAAAATGATTTTTCAGTTCATTGAGCAGTTGCTGTCAGAGAAGAAAAACATTTTTAAAAATTGTCTGCCCTTAGGTTTTGACCAAAAAAGAAAAAGAAAAAAAAGATATTATAGCAAATATTGCTTCTGTTCAACCCAACTAGCAAGACATATGGTCTATACACAACCACTGCCTTTAGAGATTGCTTAAGGACTTATACAAGTTATTTTCCCAATGAGATGTAGCATATAGTTAGCTTTAAATGATAGTCACATTGTGGTCTGAGGCAAGATATAGCATTTAATAACACATATACTGCAGCAGGCTCCATTTCTTCAGCTTAAGGCTGCAGATTCAAATAAAGAAAAACAGTTCCATGTTCCCTCTGGGAATTCAAACCAAGTCAAAATTATTAACTTTTTGGTCCTGGAATGTTTACCAATGTACTGCTTCCCTTCAGTCAACAATGAGTATTTAGCTAGTCCCATAAAACTGACAATCCCAGTCAATCATGAGAGCTCTGTCAACAGTCAGAATGGTCAAACATGAAGTTATCCTATGCTTTTGTGGCTTTTTAAAAACCATTTATAATTCCAGTTTGCATACTTTCTGTCACTTTGGCCAAACACTGTCACTTTAGCCAAAGCTGAAGGTGTTGAGTCAAACCTACTTCTATGAATATTCTTTATTCCAAAAAGGATTATATCTAAGCATTCATTTTTAGTTTTTCCTATTCAAGGTCATCCCCATAATCAATTCACTGGTCTGCATCATTTGGAAGCTTACATAGTTACATAGGAAAGCATTTTCATTTATTTCTAAGGAGTCTGCTTTCAATGCCAGGTGAGGGTATCATGTCCCCTTAAGAAACTAAAGTGCAGTTTCTACAATGTTACCTGGTTAGAATATTCATATTTAGAAATCAGATGAAAATAATTCAAACAGACTTTCAAAGATCTACCATTATTCAATAAGATAAAACAAATACTTTTAGTTATTCATAAATGTACTTGGTGTCATTATAATTTGGTACAAAACTGAATCTATTTTGCAATTTAAATTTTTTAAACCTGAAGAATATGAGAAGTATGGTCAATAAATGACTTAAATGCCAATGTTTAAGATGAAATAAAACACTATAGGAAGAACATCCTATTCTTTGTCAATTTCATGCTAAACAATGAGAATTCATTACTGCATTGCAACTGAAGCCAACATTGAATTTCTTTCTTCTGCTCAATTATTTTAATTATCTAAATGGACTGTCATTCTTTTTTCCATCCATTCCACTTCTGCAAATCAATATCAGACCATGGTGATAAAAAGACTTAGAATGAGAGATTGAAATTTATATTCTTCACATATATTTTTGTGGTCTTCCAGATACTCTGACCTCAACTAGTAATTCAGATCACACAACAAAATTCAGTAATAAGAAAATTGTATTTTATCCAAATAATTCATATACATATTTTCACTTCAAGTGTGAAATTAGAAAATGACCATTGCAGAATTTATTTCAATTAGAAAGTGGTTGAAGGGAGAGAGGAGAATAAAATTAACTAGAAATTTATGTGATTTTAACTAAGCGTCACTATCAATTAATCAGAAGTTGAATTCTAGGAGAAAATATTCCAGTCCCAGAGGATCCATCTTAGTTCCTCATATGTTTGAAACATTTGGCTAGGCAGTATTTAATCGCTCATGGTAACAGTAATAACTAGAAACTCTAAATGTGATATGGTTTGGCTGTGTCCCTGCCTAAATCTCATCTTGAATTGTAGTTCCCATAATTCTCATGTGTAGTGGGGACCCAGCAGGGCCTCACGCTGTTCTTGTGACAACGAGTTCTCATTAGATCTGATGGTTTTATAAGGGGCTTTTTCCTTTTTTGCTTGACACTTTTTTTCCTGCCACTAAATGAAGAAGGACATGTTTGCTTCCCCTTTCACCATGATTGCAAGTTTCCTAAGACCTCTCCAGCCATGCTGAACTGTGAGTCAATTAAACCTTTTTCCTTTATAAATTACCCAGTTTCAGGTATGTCTTTATTAGCGGTGTGAGAACGGACTACTACAAAATGCTTCACAACAACCAAAAAAGATAGGTACTATCATTACTCTTACGTTATATGTTAGAGAAAGTGAAGTTTGGTGAGGCTAAATAAACTGTAAGTGAACTGAGATTCAAGGTCCAGGCATCTTACTTCAGTGCCTCCACTTCTTACCAGTCCTGTAAGTCCCTCCCAAAGAGCACACGTTCTTAGATCCAGCCCTCATCTATTGCCCAAGTCCCAGAGAGGACAAAGGTGGGGACTAGGAAGAGCACACTCAATAGAAAAAGAGGAGAAAGTCGTCTATTTCTTTTGGTGCTAACAATTCTAATCTTAGATGATATGAACCAAGAATAATTAACTCTTTACATTTGTTTTCTACCCAATTCTAAAACTTGGTGTCTCTGAGTTTTTTTGAAACCCAGTATTTTATGTAGTTTTATGGATTGTGAATAAGGAGCCCCTTTCACTTCTAAGAAATATTTTATTCCAAAAAGCTTTGATTTATTGATCCAAATCTGCATGTTGGCAATATGACACGAACTTACCTTTCATGGGGGAATTCAAACTATCAAACTGCTGCCAAATAGAAGAGATTTTTTAAGTGATAAATAAGAATAGTAGAAGAAAGGAGGGAATTTCCAGAGTTTTCAGGGCAAGGATGAGAAAGAAGAAACAGATTTATGCTAATTGAGTTTATGAATGAAGAGATCTGAAGGGGTGTATTGGACATATTGTTGTTATTCTGCCTCAGTTATGGTATGAGATGTGTGAAAAAAATGCAGTGGGACAGAGGAAATAAATGGACCTGATGCTCATAAAGCTGTGTCAAGCATTTAATTCAATCCACTGCTGAAATTGACTATGTCGCTTTGAATAGACAAAAGGGTAGAATAGATGGTATTTTTAAAACAGGAAAGAGAAAAACTGTCAGATCATTTCCTGACTTCACTACTGCTGCTTGTTGCTAAATTAACAGAACGTTTTATACATGAACAAATTATCAAATCTTTAAATACAATTAAAGCACTTTTTAAAATAGTTCTAATTTTATTTTCTTTTGACAAAGTAATTATACTTCAAGAAACTGTGATCAGAACAATTTTTCACTGCCAATTCTGAGAACAGAAGGTGGAAAAGGTGCTTTTAGATTATCTTACAAAAAGCGAGCTAAACTTTGTATAACCTTATTTCCTAGCCTTATAAAAGAAAGGCTTAAAAATAGACCAACAAACACAAATTTTAATCTCCTTTCAAGTCACTCATTGATTTGTAATTTAATGTTACTTAGGACACCAGTGGTCACATACTGTAGCTCGATTTTCCTTCCATGGACTTGTTTTCTTTATATTTAAAATCACAGGGTTGCTCTGGGAGCCTTTTTGTTATTAGTCCAAAACAAATGAATTGAACCTTAGGCCTCTTTTCCTCAAGAGGAAGCAATACAATGCCCTCGGCTTGTACTTTCAACTTCAGATTCTCCTACAATATATCTTTCTAGGAATCTATAACTATTTCCTTTCTTCAGAGGTCTCTAGCCTCTTCTACTTCCTCTTCCCCCTAACTTACATGTTAATGAATAAACATTTCTCTGTTCACCTGAATGGGATTCATTTTGCCTTTCTCTGCCCTGAAATTGCTCCCTCAGGATTCTACCTGACTTGCCTGCAAAATCCTTCCCACAAAGGTTTAGGGGTAGCCTACAGCTATGAGCCCTAATATTCCTCAGCTTTACCCTTTCATTTGTAGTTTGTCTTCCTCCGTGAGGAAAAAAAGTTCACAAAATGCAAATGCACAACGAATGAACCAAAGAGTGCAGATGTACCAGCAAATTTGTTGGTACAGATTTTTCCTTTCTATAGTTAGAGAAATTGTCAATTTAATTCCTCAAGAGTTTTGCAGTGAATATTAAGAATAATCTGTATCTTCTGAATTAGGGAGGACATTGTGGAGAAGGATAAAAGAGCAAGTGCCACACTGATGGCAAGAAGGAGGGAAGTAAGTAAAAAGAAATATAGTCTCTGCCCCCAGAAGACTTGCAATCTGGAAGGGTATATTTATATGCATGAAAAACTGAGAAGGGTAGAAGAAAGCATATAAACTGCCAACTTATGCAATACTTTGGCTTTTTTAGGTGGGTCTAGACATTTTAATAAGCCTCACTAAACTATCAGATGCTTCAGGGTTTAGAGTGTTCTCTGACAAAGATAGGAAGAATTGAGAATGACACAACCCTGAAAGTGGAAATAGAGGAGGAGTGATGTACGGATTTCAGTTCCAAGAATTTTATTCCCAGCTGAGAGCAAATCATTGGCTGGCATACCAGTAATTTACAAGTAACAGAGAGATCCCAATTACATTGTTTCCATTCCATTCCTATACTGTTGAAGATCATAAATGACAGCGCATTTTTGCATATGGGCTAAGAATAAAATATCTTAGGGTTGAAATATGGAAAGCTTACAGCACGCAATGAACTTTGCCTTCTTATGTGACTCCTCCTAATCTTAGGAAATGAGTCCATTTTACTTTTAAAGACCTAGCGGTATCATTATCTTTTTCCTCTTTCTTTAAGTATCTACTGGTATTTTGCACATCAGAAAACTATAGTATTCTCATTTTATGGAACTGGTAACTCAATATTTTGGTCTGTCCTATCCTGACAAGTCATATACTTTAAAAAGTAATACTAAAACTTGAATTACATACTTGCTTTTCTCCTCTTCTGACATTTGTATATAACTTGTATTCATGACAAACTACAAGGAAGTTCTATTATTCGTTTTTTAAAAGTCTAGTGGAGAAGAACCTTGCTTAAACTTATTCATATTCATTTTTCAATGCAAAACACAGCCCTAAAACTCTCCTTGATTTATTACATTGTTTTATTACGTTCTGTGAGTTGGTCCTTTATGCAATAGTTAAATGACTAGGCCATATAATTTCTCTCCTTGATAGCTAGGACTAGAAAAAACAATCTCTTTTCAGTGAGAATCATGAATATTGGGTGTGTCAAGAGGACCGTTGTGGTTTCTTGGTTAGATTACAGTATTATTTTCTACACATTCTGGAAATTCTAGCACAAGCCCTGATACAATAAACATTTTTTGCCTTTCTTTTATCTCCACCCAAAAAAGTTACTGACAAGTATAAGGAGATTAATTACATAATCAAGAAGAATTCAGTGAGGCAGTATCTCAAGATACCTAAACACTCATAAGGTCATACATTTGCCACCTAGGGAAGCATCATGGAATCAGTTAAAGTCTCTAGAGTACAGTACAGCAAATGGAAACATCAGTGAACTAACTAAAGGTCATACGAGACCTTTGGACAAGCCTACACATTTATTATCTTTTCTAATCCAGTTCCTAATATGTGTTTAACAGTGAGTACAATGCCTGACACAGCTTCGCTGCTTAGAGTTCTTTATTCCCTGGAAGTCTCCCTGAAGAAGTCTTGCCAGGCCCAGATAACCTATGCTCCTCTTCACCTTTCTCTTACTTTGAATTCCTACCACACTTAAGAATTCTTCCCATTCTTGACTATCAGGTATTTGACTTGGAATCTTTCTGAAGTTATTCCATGGATTTCTGTCTTGTGTTCCTCAACTTGACTGTAACAGAGAGAGAGATATCAAATATTTTGTCTTTCTCACAAATCCTAGCAGTAAATCACTAAATAAATGCATCTGAAACATTGAATGAGTAAACAGAGCAAAGAAACCGATTCATTACTTTATAACCCCCGTTGTTCTAGTAACATTGTATTAGTCAGGATTCTCTTAGAGGGACAAAACTAATAGGAGATATATATATTATATATATCTATGATATATATTATATATAACTATTATATATAATATATAATATATATCTATGATATATATAACATATTTTATATATATATATAACATATTTTATATATATATAACATATGTTATATATATATAACATATTTTATATATATATATAACATATGTTTTATATATATATATATATATATATATATATATATACCTGCGAGCAAATCATTGGCTCTCTCTCTATATATATATCAAGCTGAGCAGCAAGGAGAGCCAGTCTGAGTCCCAAAACTGGAGAATTTGAAGTCTGATGTTCAAGGGCAAGAAGCATCCAGCATGGAAGATGTAGGCCGGGAGGCTAAGCACATCTTGCCTTTTTCACAATTTTCTACCTACTTTACATTTGCTTGAAGCTGATTAGATTGTGCCCACCAGATTAAGGGCAGATCTGCCTTCTTCAGCCCACTGACTCAAATGTTAACCTCTTTTGGCAACACCCTCACAGACATGCCCAGGATTAATACTTTGTATCCTTCAATCCAATCAAGTTGACACTCAGTTATTAACCATCACAAGTCCACCCCTTGTCAGCTTGAACCCATACGCATCTCCTGAGATCATACATAATCTTCAAATAAAGACAATAATGAGGTCGTAATTACACCTAACATAATACAACTATCCTTCATAAAACTGGAAATGCATCAATCCCCAACCCAAATACTATTTTAAAAAGTTAACAATACTTAAATGCTGATATGAAGTCAATAAATCTTATGTCACATGATAAAGGAAAAGGAAATAAAATGAAGATATTTTCTTAGTACAAGTGTATACATGCACAAATGTTTTTAACAAAAGAGGGAGGAAATACTCATGACAGTTATAGTCCTCGTTTCTGCAGCTGGTCACCTGGTCATATCTGGTATTGATGACTACCTTCTTCTATTACCCATTCTGTATTCCCTTTGCCTCCAGCAAGCACCTCAGCAGGTCATGGTTTTTTTTTTTTTTGCTTGGTGGAGTGACCCAAAACTTCATTCCTGAAGGGTCTGAACCATTCATAGTCCTGCCTGGATTGAGCTGTTGTAGTTTTCCATTAACCTTAATCATAGGGCATGGTAATACTAAGAGATGCCCTAATGGATCTCCCGTATTTCATGTGTACTCTTCCTTACCACCATTGTGGAGTACTAGACTGATTTTGTCTTCATAGCCTGGGTCAATCACCCCAGCCAACATTGTAAATCCCTCCTTAGCCTGTTGACTTAAAGGTAGAAGGAGCCCAAAGTGTCCAGGTGGCAATCTTAATCTCCAGTTTAATGAATCATGGTTGTGTCTCCTGGTGGCAGTGTTCCTCCCTCTGGAAGTAAGACCTCTAGGCCAGCAGAACATAATGTCATGGGAACAGGAAGCAAAAATTTTACTAGTGGATCACTAGGGGTGATAGTGAATGGTGCCACTTCCATTTCCACCCTTGATTCACGGATCGGTGAATCCTGACTATGGGAGAAAGAGTACCGTATATTGGACGCTGATTCAGAACATACATGGCCTTCTGGAGAACTTTGCCCCAGCCCTGCAAAGTATTGTCACCCAGTTGGGGTTGTAATTGTGACTTCAAAAGGCCATTCCACCATTCTATCAATCCAGCTGCTTCAGGATGATGGGGAACATGGTAAGACCAGTGAATACCATGAGCAAGAACCCACTGCTGCACTTTTCTTTTTTTTCTTTTTTCTTTTTTTTTTTTTGAGACAGAGTCTCACTCTGCCGCCAGACTGGAGTGCTGTGGCGCAATCTCAGCTAACTGCAACCTCCAACTCCCTTGGTCAAGTGATTCTCCTGCCTCAGCCTCTCAAGTTGCTGGGATTACAGGCATGCGTCACCACACCCAGCTAATCTTTATATTTTTAGTAGAGATGGGGTTTCACCATGTTGGCCAGGATGGTCTCGATCTCCTGACCTCGTGATCTGCCCACCTCGGCCTCACAAAGTGCTGGGATTACAGGTGTGAGCCACCACGCACGGCCTTTAGCTGTAAAGTGAGTGCCTTGGTCAGTGGCAATGCTGTGTGGAATACTATGATGGTGGATAAGGCATTCCATGAGTCCAGGATGGTAGTCTTGGCAGAAACACTGCGTGCAGGATAGGCAAACCCATATCCAGAGTAAGTGTCTATTCCAGTGAGGAGAAGTCTCTGCCCTTTCCATAATGGAAGAGGTCCAATATAATCAACTTGCCACCAGGTAGCTGGCTGATCACCCCAAGAAATGGTGCTATATCAAGGGCAGTGTTGGTCTCTACTACTGGCAAATTGGGCACTCAGCAGTGGCTATAGCCAGGTCAGCCTTGGTGAGTGGAAGTCTATGTTGCTGAGCCCATGAGTAACCTCCCTCCCTGCCACCATGGCCACTTTATTCATGAGCCCATTGGGCGATGACAGGGGTGGTTGGGTAAAGAGGCTGAGTGGTGTCCATAGAACGGGTCATCCTATCCACTTGATTATTAAACTCCTCCTCTGCTGAGGTCACTCGTTGGTGAGCACTCACATGGGACACAAATATCTTCAGTTTTTGACCACTCAGAGAGGTCCATCCACATACCTCTTCTCCAAATTTCTTTGTCACCAATTTTCCAATCATGCTTCTTCCCAGTCCCTGACCATCCAGCCAAACCATTGGCTACAGTCCATGAATCAGTATATAATCACACATCTGGCCATTTCTCCTTCCATGCAAAGTGCACAACCAGGTGCACTGCTCGAAGTTCTGCCCACTGGGAAGATTTCCCTTCATTGCTGTCCTTCAGGGATGTCCTAGAAAGGGGCTGCGGTGCTGCAGCTCTCCACTTTTGGGTGGTGCCTGCATATCATGCAGAACCATTTGCGAACCAGGCCCTACTCTTCTCTTCCTCTGTCAACTGATCATAGGGAACTCCCCATAAGGCCATTGGTGAAGGCTGGGGGAGAGAATGCAGGGTGGCAGGAGTGGAGGCCATGGCCATTTGAGCCACTTCCTCATGTAACTTACTTGTGCCTTCTGGACCTGCTCGAGCCAGATCACACATCTACCACTTCCACTTGATGATGGAATGCTGCTCTGCATGACTCACTTTATGGCTAGATGGGTCAGAAAGCACCCAGTTCATGACAGGCAGTTCAGGTAGCATGGTGACTTGATGACCCATAGTTGAACGTTCAGTTTCCACCAAAGCCCAGTAATAGGCCAAGAGCTGTCTCTCAAAAGGAGAGTAGTTATCTGCAGAAGATGGTAGAGACTTGCTCCAAAATCCTAGAGGCCTCTGCTGTGATTCATCTATAAGAGCCTGCCAAATGCTCCAAACAGCATCCCTATCTGCCACTGACACCTCGAGCACCATTGGATCTGCTGGGTCCTACAGCCCAAGTGGCACAGCAGCCTGGACCTGTTGCAGAGCCTTCTCCTGTTCTGGACCCCACTCAAAACTGGCAGCCTTTCAGGTCACTCAATAAATAGGCCAGTGTAACACACCCAAATGATGAATGTGTTGCCTCCAAAATCCAAATAGGCCCACTAGGCATTGTGTCTCTTTCTCGGTTGTAGGAAGGGCCAAATGCAATAACTTATCCTTTACCTTAGAAGGAATATCTCGACAGGCCCCACACCACTGGACCCCTAGAAATTTTACTGAGGTAGAAATTCCCCGAATTTTAGTCAGATTTATTTCCCATCCTCTGGCACACAAATATCTCACCAATAAGTCCATTGTGTTTGCTACTTCTTACTCACTGGATCCAATCAGCATAATGTTGTCAATGTAACGGACCAGTGGGACATCTTGCAGAAGTGAAAAGCGATTAAGTTCTCTCCAAATAAAATTGTGACACAAAGCCAGAGAGTTAATATACCCCTGAGGTAGGAGAGTAAAGGTTTATTGCTGGCCTTTCCAGCTGAAGACAAATTGTTTCTGGTGGGCCTTATGGAAAGGAATGGAGAAAAAGGCATATGCCAAGTCAGTGGCTGCATACCAGGTACCAGGAGATGTGTTAATTTGCTCAAGCAGTGAAACCACATCTGGTACAGCAGCTCCAATTGGAGTCACTACTTGGTTAAGCTTATAATAATCCACTGTCATTCTCCAAGATCTATTTGTCTTCTGCATAGGCCAAATGGGATAGTTGAATAGGGATGTGATGGGTTTCACCACCCTGCATCTTTCAAGTCCTTGATGGTGGTACTAATCTCCGCAATCTCTCCAGGGATGTGATATTGTTTTTGATTTACTATTTGTCTAGGTAGAGGTAGCTCTAAAGGCTTCCATTTGGCCTTTCCCACCATAATAGCCCTCACCATACTAGTCAAGGAGCCAAAGCGGGGGTTCTGCCAGCTGCTAAGTATGTCTATGCCAATTATGCATTCTGGCACTGGGTAAATGATCCACTGGACCCCCTGTAAGTCAGATCTGAGCTCAAACTCTATTAATTACCTGACCTCCATAAACCCCTACTTTAACTGGAGGACCACGAGGATGTTTTGGATCCCCTGGAATCAATGTCAGCAGAGCCTGTGTCCAGTAGTCTCCAAAATATCTGATCATTTCCCTTTCCCCAATGCACAGTTACCATGGTAAAAGGCTGGAGGTCCCCTTGAGGAAGTATGGGAGAAAGATTCACTGTATAAATTGTCAGTAATGTAGTGGGGTCCTTCCTCAAAGGGACCCACCCTCCCCTTTATTCAAGGGGTTCTTGGTCTGTAAACTGGCTCAAGTCTGGAAGTTGATTGAGGGGCCATGATCCTCTGTTTTTATAACTCAAATTAGTCTTTTGTCCATTCGACCTAGAAGTTTTCTGTTTGTATAATTTAAGTAGAAATGCAGTAGGCTTCCTATCAATTTCACTTCTAGGAACACCATGATTAATTACCCAATGCCAGAGCTCTACATGAGTCAGACTATTCTGATTGCTGCTTTACCTCTGCTGTCCATTATGGTAGCTACGCCCACCTTGCCTTTGACAGTTGAGTGCTGCCACTTGGCCCCTGCCACCTCAGGATCTAATGATTCCCATTGTATGTAAATTTTGTAGTTGAGTGACTGCAGTTCCCACTGTTAGATCTGACATACAGAGAAGAGCAATTACAGGGCTCTTCAAAGATGCAGATGCTATCCTCATGAATCTATTTTGCAAGCCATTGGCCAGGGATATATATTCTGGACCCTCTCGGCTGGGATGAGTAGGTATAAAGTGAATAACCCACTCCACCATCCCAATCTCCCTAAGCCTTTGGATCCTTTCCTCTACATTAAACCAAGAGAGATCAGGCATTTCCAGCTCCCTCATAGAGAGCCTTCTTTTAATCTATATTTCAGCTAACCAAGCAAATAAATTATTAGAACCTTTTTTAACTCTCTGAACTGCAACATTAAATGCAAAGTCCCTACTTGGTGGGCCCAAATCAATAAAATCAGCCTGATCCAACTCAGTGACCAAGCTGAAAATCAAATCAAGAACTCAACTCCTTTTACAATTGCTGCAAAAGAATAAAATAGTTAGGAATACACCTAACTAAGGAGGTGAAACAGCTCTAGAAAGAAAACTACAAAACACTGCTGAAAGGAATCACAGACAACACAAACAAATGGAAACACATCCCATGATCATGGATGCGTAGAAGCAATATTGTGCAAACGACCATACTGTCAAAAGCAATTTACAAATTAAATGCAATTCCCATCAAAATGTCATCATCATTATTCAAAGACCTAGAAAAAACAATCCTAAAATGCATATGGAATGAAAAAGGAACCCACATAGCCAAAGCAAGACTAAGCAAGAAGAACAAATCTGGAGGCACCACATTACCCGACTTCAAACTATACTATAAGGCCATAATCGTCAAAACGGCATGATACTGGTATAAAAATAGGCATATAGACCAATGGAACAAAATAGAAAACCCAGAAATAAAGCCAAATACTTACAGCCAACTGATTTTCAACAAAGCAAACAAAAATATAAAGTGGGGAAATGACACCCTCTTCAACAAACGGTTCTGGGATAATTGGCAAGCCACATGTAGAAGAATGAAACTGGATCTTCATCTATCACCTTATACAAAAATCAACTCAAGATTGATCAAAGACTTAAATCTAAGACCTGAAACCATAAAAATTCTAGAAGATGACATCAGAAAAACTCTTCTAGATATTGGCTTAGGCAAAGACTTCATGACCAAGAACCCAAAAGCAAATGCAACAAAAACAAAGATAAATAGATGGGACTTACTTAAACTAAAAAGTTTCTGCACAGCAAAAGAAATAAATCAGCAGAGCAAACAGACAATCCATAGATTGGGAGAAAACTGTCTCAAGCTATACTTCCAAGAATAGACTAATATCCAGAATCTACAAAGAACTCAAATCAGCAAGAAAAAAAAAAAATTTCATCAGAAAGTGGGCTAAGGACATGAATAGACAATTCTCAAAAGAAGATATACAAATGGCCAACAAACATGAAAAAATGCTCAACATCAGTAATTATCAGGGAAATGCAAAGCAAAACCACAGTGCAATAAATACCACTTTACTCCTGCAAGAATGGCCATAATCAAAAAATAATAGATGTTGGCATGGATGTGGTGAAATGGGAACACTTTCATACTGTTGGTGGGAACGTAAACTAGTACAACCACTATGGAAAACAGTGTGGATATTCCTTAAAGAACTAAAAGTAGATCTACCATTTGATCCAGCAATCCCACTACTGGGTATCCACCCAGAGGAAGAGAAGTCATTATAGGATAAAGATACTTACACACACGTTTATAGCAGCACAATTCACAATTGCAAGAATACAGAACCAGCCCAAATGCCCATCAATCATCAATGACTGGACAAAGAAAATGTGGTATATATATATATTATGTAATATTACTCAGCCATAAAAAGGAATGAAATAATAGCATTTGCAGCAACCAGGATGGAATTGGAGACCATTATTCTAAGTGAAGTAACTCAGGAGTGAAAAACCAAACATCGTTATGTTCTCACTCTTAAGCTGGAGCTAAGATATGAGGATGTAAAGGCATAAGAATGATACACTGGACTTTGGGGACTCGGGAGAAAGGGTATGAGGGGGTGAGGGATAAAAGACTACACATTAGGTACAGTGTGCACTGCTCAGGTGGTGGGTCCACCAAAATCTCAGAAATCACTACTAAGGAACTTATTCATGGGCCAGGCACAGTGATTCATGCCTGTAATCCCAGCACTTTGGGAGGCCAAGGCGGGTGGATCACTTGAGGTCAGGAGTTTGAGACCAGCCTGGCCACCATGGCAACACCCCATCTCTACTAAAAATACAAAACCTAGCTGGGTGTGGTGGTACAGGCCTGTAGTCCCAGCTATTCAGGAGTCTGAGGCACGAGAATTGCTTTACCTGGGAGGCAGATCACCAACATCGCTCCACTGCACTCCAGCAGGGGCTACAGAGTGAGACTCTGCTTAAAAAAAAAAAAAAAAAAAAGAACTTATTCATGTAACCAAACACCACCTGTCCCCCATAAACCTATTTAAATTTTTAAAAAGTTAAATATAGATTTACTGAGCATGACAACGCATAATTAACTTTTCCTCTACTCTCTTTTCACATGTAAAATGTAGATTTACTGAAGCTAATGAGAACCTCACTGCCTAAATTCCCTTCTTTTTTTCCCCTCCTGCTTGCTCCTTTCCCTTTACATATTGCAGTTCCCAAAATCCCCTTTGGAAAAAGCATAGGTCACAGGTGCTCCTGTGATTTGTGTTTTTTCCCAAGCACGTCCTCTCAACCTTGGCTAAAGAAACGTCTAATCAATTAAGACCTGCCTCAGTCACTTTCCGGTTTACAGAATTTATACATTTATGAAGTTTCCTATTGAAGGAAGATAGATTTTTGACTTTATCTTGGATTAACCAATGATCAAATAACAGTAATTTCATTAAGTTCTAGGAATTTATTTTTAAAGATTGTATCAGTTTCAGTACCATCACATCAACACATCAACTGTGGGGGTGTGTGTGTGTGTCTGTGTGTCTGTGTGTCTGTGTATGTGTTTGGGCCCTGGAGAGAGAGAGATTGGGTGAGGAAATCTACAAGTTAGCAGAAAAAGAAACTCTTGAGGGAGAAAAGAAATAACTCAAATGCCATTTTGCAGGTTTCCAAAATTAAAAAAAAAAAAGAACTTCTGTTACGGGCCAAGTTTTGTGAGTTTTGTTGTTCCTTATTTTTGTGTGGTGTTTTGCACCCCCCACCCTCCAAAGAATTTCCATATTCAATCTTTTCCCTTAGAATACAAAACAAAACCTACCAGAGGAGAGTTCCTGAGAGAGGAAGCCAAAGGGCCCATGACTGATAGGAAAGACTCCTAGGAAAGCCTTTGAAGCTCTAGGAAGGAGAGGCGCTGACTCAATCAAAGCCAGCCAGGGTAGATCTGATTTACAAGCTGAGCTGTCTCAGCTGAACCAACAATCTAAAGTTGCTTGGTGGCTATGTTAGTGCTGCAGCTGTGACATTGTTGTTAATGAATCAGGATACCTGCTTAAGTTACTGTCAGACCAAGAGGTTTTTTAAATTCAAAATATCTCTGTAAGCTCCTGAAGAAGAAGTCTATTCAATGATGATTTGATAAAGATCACTTTTGCTTTGAGGTTTTTTCTTTTTTTTGTTGTTTTTTTTTCTTAAGTAAATAAAAATGTGTTTAATGTAGCTTTGTTTCCTAAAGGACTCATTAATTACCTTATTATGCTCTATTTCTTCTAGCTATGTTTGTTGAAAAATCAGTGTTATATATTCATGGATAAGCAAAAATGCTATCTGTGCTCATGGAGATTTTTAATCATTTAAGCCAACTTTATTATGATTGCTTTAACGTCTTTAAATTCATTCTATTTCCTATTCCAAGAAGGGTATTTATTAGAATTGTCAAACTTTATTCTTCTACTATGTCTGATTACTGTCTATTTAAAACTCAAAGTAGAATTCTAAGAAACTAGAGAAAAAAAGAGAAATTCCTATTTAATAAAAGGGAAAATAATTTACCAATTATCCTATTAAAACAAAAGAGAAAAGATGAATAAATTGATGATTTTTGAAGAAATGCACACTTTACTTGCAACTAAACAATTGCTAATCAAAATAATTTTCAGGTGCCATGACATAGTTATTAAACTAGAAAAAAGGAAATAAAATTTTATAACCAATGCTGGTAAAGTTGGAGGGAATGAGAATAGTTGAGTGTTTTGTAAATTGTTCACTCTCTGGAGAGCAACCTGGCATGTGTGACCAGACCTACAAAATTAAGGGCAAAAACCTTTTTTTTATTTTTCAGTAATCACCACCATATGCCCAGCAGTGAACACGATTTCTGACATAAATTAAGAAATAAATAATAATTGATAAAAGAATAATGAATAAAATGGTTCATGCCCACTGACTTGTTAATTTCACTTTGAGGAAAATTAACAAAAATTAACCCCAAAATTAAGACTTTTCACCACTATTCATAGCAGGAAAAAAATTGGACCCATTCACATATTTGATAATAGAGGAATACTTGAGCTTGATTAAATGTTTCATGTAGCATAGCATATAAGCCATGTTTAAACAACATAATGTGTGTGAGTTAATATTAAGTATCTTGCAGGGCACAGTGGCCCATGCCTGTAATCTCAGCACCTTGGAAGCCTGAGACAGGAGGATCACTTGAGGCCAGGAGTTCTACACTAACCTGGACAACATAGCAAGACCTCATTCCTGCAAAAAATAAAACAAACAAAGTTTAACCGGGCGTGTTAGCATACACCTCTCATCCCAGCTACTCAGGATGCTGAGATGCTGAGGCGGGAGGATCACTTCAGCCCAAGAGTACAGCATAGAAACATTCATAGAAACATTCATATACAAAATAGAAAACTCCTGATCATCGAGGACAACACAGAAGGAAGAAGTGAGGCATCTGCATGACTCACATTACCCTGCAGGTTATAAAGATTTCTTACCTTTGATTACCTACCTCTGTATATAAAGCAATCTTAGAGATTTGAAAAGAAAATTTACAACTGAAAAACTAAAATTGAACTGCTTATAAGCTGTCATCCATAATCAGCTCATTATTTAATATATCTTTTAAGACAACTCAGTTTTTAGTCTGTATAAAGCAATGTCTTAGGTGCTGCAAGGAAAGCACTTATGGGGAAGTCACAATAAGCCTGCAAATACTTATTCCTTAAAGTAAACAGTGCCATATTTAAAGGGAATGCTAATGTTTTTTAAACAATCTGTATTGAATTGTAATAATGGAGCTGGAGGCCAATTTTCAATTGATTTGATGTTAAAATCCTTAATATTTAGATAGAATTTTTTATTTTTGGCTTTAAGAAAATAAAAATGTCTGAGTCTAACAATAATGCAATACTAAATGTCATCATAATAGTTAGGTCTCTCATGGTTATTCTGCATATTTGAGTTCAGTCATTCAAAATTTTTTTAAAAAAGAATAGATGTAAATAGTTTTGTACATGTAGAATTATTAACAATGTAAACATTTCTTTATGTTTGATAGTTACTAACCTGTCAAAATTCCATAATAATATGCTAAATAATATTTTTCTAAGTTACTTCAAGTGGCCACACAACAATTTCTAAGCTCGTTAAGGCAGTTAAAATATTTTACTCTACCTCCTCAGTAAGTTAATGTAGATACCTTAATGAAGAATGAAAGTCTTCCGTTTATCTTTACTAACCTATAGCAGGTCTTAGGAAATTAGTTTATTTCCAGCCACAAGTGCTAATCCTTTACATTTTAGATAAATTGTCCCTTACAAACACACAAATAACAGGTTTAAGGTAAAGGAAAAAGAAAAGAAAAGGTATTTATAAAATTCAACTCCAAGGCCTTCAATATTCTGGAATTTTGTTCATGTTATGTGCTTCAGAGGGAAGGTAATTTGTTCCTATCTTGAGTAGATCCAGAAAAAAGAGAAATTTCTGTTATTTTAGTGTATGACTCCTATTTGAGAAAAAATGACTATTTACTCCAAAATCACCCCAAATCTTAAAATTTATAAGGCTAAAGAAAACATGCTAAAAGTCAGAGGTGGGAGGAATTGAATCAGTCAGTACTCAACTGTGAATAACAGAAACATTTCTAGCACCACTTTATCTAGGAATGGATTTAGTGCTAGGAGTTAGGTTCTTAAAAAATTGTTGGAAGGGCCTGAGGAGCAGGAATGACTTCCAAAACACAGCCACAGAATTGCCCTGCTAAGGAACATCTTACCACTGCTGTAACCAAGAAGTTGTGCCAAGGATCACACCACAATAGCCATAACCCAGGGACAGAAAGCTGCCACCAGGACCACAGCCTCCCGAGCCCACCCCACCTAATACTAGCAAGTGGATGTTATATTTCCAAATTTAA
Source organism: Homo sapiens (assembly GCF_000001405.40). NCBI lineage: Eukaryota > Metazoa > Chordata > Mammalia > Primates > Hominidae > Homo > Homo sapiens. The sequence continues at coordinate 88,374,630 of NC_000007.14, read as the reverse complement.
GTCTCCTGCAGGTGCTCCTGATTGGCAGAAACTAAACCACATGGGAATCTCCAGATGCAAGGTTTTCTGGGAAATGAAATATTTAGCCTTCCAGCCTCTGCAGTACAGGAAGGCACACTACAGAGAGACTGGAACAGATGCTGGCAGTCAAACCACCGTTTGTGCCACAAGTGGGCAGTTCCATCACTATGCTGAAGTTTTGAACATTCAGTTAGTCTTTCTTCAATGTTTAACAAATTTATAATAAAATATCATACCAGGGAATGCTAAGAGACTATTATTCTCAAAATCAGTTGGATATATTTGAGAATAATATTCTCTCAACATTTCCCAGTATATATATATTAGTATATACATATGTCTATATATAAGTATATATGTATATATAGTATATATAAATAACAAAAATTCTATCTAAACATATTATATATTACATTATATATACATAATATTATATCTATATATATATATATATATATATATATATAGAGATATAGATATATGTCTCCAAACTTAGTTGTAGTCTTATGTTCCCTACAACTAACAGGCTTTTTCTGTTTTTTAATAAGATTAAGAAAAACAGGGGGGTTGCTTCCAAGATGGCCGAATAGGGACAGCTCCAGTCTGCAGCTCCCAGCGAGATCAACACAGAAGACAGGTGATTTCTGCATTTCCAACTGAGGTACCTGGTTCATCTCACTGGGACTGGTTGGACAGTGGCTGCAGCCTACAGAGGGCAAACCAAAGCAGGGCAGGGTGTTGTCTCACCCGGGAAGCACAGGGGGTCAGGGGATTTCCCTTTCCTAGCAAAGGGAAGCCATGACAGACTGTACCTAGCAAAACAGTACACTCCTGACAAAATACTGCACTTTTCCCACAGTCTACGCAACTCGCAGACCAGGAGATACCCTCCCATGCCTGGCTCGGCGGGTCCCACACCCATGGAGCCTTGCTCACTGCTAGCACAGCAGTGTGAGATCAACCTGGGACCCTGGAGTTTGGCAGGGGGAGGGGCATCCACCATTGCTGAGGCTTGAGTAGCTCACAGTGTAAACAAAGAGGCCAGGAAGCACCAACTGGACAGAGCCCACCATATCTCAGCAAGGCCTACTGCCTCTATAGATTCCACCTCTGTGGGCAGGGCATAGTAGAACAAAAGGCAACAGACAGCTTCAGCAGACTTAAACGTCCCTGTCTAACAGCTCTGAAGAGAGCAGTGGTTCTCTCACCAGGGCGTTTGAGCTCCGAGAATGGACAGACTGCCTCCTCAAGCGGGTCCCTGACCCCCATGTAGCCTGACTGGGAGAAACCTCCCAGTAGGGGCTGACAGACACCTCAAACAGGTGGGTGCTCCTCTGGGACAAAGCCTCCAGAGGAAGGATCAGGCAGCAATATTTGCTGCTCTGCAGCCTCCACTGGTGATACCCAGGCAAACAGGGTCTGGAGTGGACCTCCAGCAAACTCCAACAGACCTATAGCTGAGGGGTCTGACTGTTAGGAAAACTAACAAACAGAAAGGAATAGCATGAACGTCAACAAAAAGGACATCCACACCAAAACCCCATCTGTAGGTCACCAACATCAAAGACCAAAGGTAGATAAAACCACAAAGAAGGGCGGGTGCGGTGGCTCACGCCTGTAATCCCAGCACTTTGGGAGGCCGAGGCTGGTGGATCACGAGGTCAGGAGATCAAGACCATCCTGGTTAACATGGTGAAACCCGTCTCCACTAAAAATACAAAAAATTAGCCAGGCGTAGCAGCAGGCGCCTGTAGTCCCAGCTACTTGGGAGGCTGAGGCAGGAGAATGGCGTGAACCTGGGAGGTGGAGCTTGCAGTAAGCTGAGATCAAGCCACTGCACTCCATCCTGGGTGACAGAGTGAGACTGTCTCAAAAAAAAAAAAAAAAACAACTAAATAAAATAAAATAAAGAAAACCCCATGGTCTCAGCCCAAAATCTCCTTAAGCATATAAGCAACTACAGCAAAGTCTCAGGATACAAAATCAATGTGTAAAAATCACAAGCATTCCTATACACCAATAATAGACAGACAGCCAAATCATGAGTGAACTCCCATTCACAATTACTACAAAGAGAATAAAATACCTAGGAATCCAACTTACAAGGGATGTGAAGGATTTCTTCAAGAAGAACTACAAACCACTGCTCAACAAAATAAAAGAGAACACAAACGGAAGAACATTCCATGCTCATGGATAGGAAGAATCAATATCGTGAAAATGGCCATACTGTCCAAGGTAATTTATAGATTCAATGCCAACCCCATCAAGCTACCAATGACTGTCTTCACAGAATTGGAAAAAACTACTTTAATGTTCATATGGAACCAAAAAAGAGCCCGCATAGCCAAAACAATCCTAAGCAAAAAGAACAAAGCTGGAGGCATCATGCTACCTGACTACACTCTGTACTATAAGGCTACGGTAACCAAACAGCATGGTACTGGTACCAAAACAGAGATATAGACCAATGGAACAGAACAGAGGCCTCAGAAATAATGCCACACATCTACAACCATCTGATATTTGACAAACCTGACAAAAACAAGCAATGGGGAAAGGATTCCCTATTTAATAAACGGTGCTGGGAAAACTGGCTAGCCATATGTAGAAAGCTGAAACTGGATCCCTTCCTTATACCTTATACAAAAATTAATTCAAGATGGATTAAAGACTTAAATGTAAGACCTAACACCATAAAAACCCTAGAAGAAAACCTAGGCAATACCATTCAGGACACAGGCACGCACAAAGACTTCATGACTAAAACACCAAAAGCAATGGCAACAAAAACCAAAATTGACAAAAATGGGATCTAATTAAACTAAAGAGCTTCTGCACAGCAAAAGAAACTATCATTAGAGTGAACAGGCAACCTTCAGAAAGGGAGAAAATCTTTGCAATTTACCCATCTGACAAAGAGCTAATATCCAGAATCTGCAAAGAACTTAAACCAATTTACAAGAAAAAAAAAAACAACCCCATCAAAAAGTGGGCAAAGGATATGAACAGACACTTCTCAAAAGAAGACATTTATGCAGCCAACAGACATGAAAAAATGCTCATCATCACTGGTCATCAGAGAAATGCAAATCAAAACCACAATGAGATACTATCTCATGCCAGTTAGAATGGTGATCGCTAAAAAGTCAGGAAACATCAGATGCTGGAGAGGATGTGGAGAAATAGGAACACTTTTACACTGTTGGTGGGAGTGTAAATTAGTTCCATTTTAGAAGGCAGTGTGGCCATTCCTCAAGGATCTAGAACTAGAAATACCATTTGACCCAGCGATCCCATTACTGGGTATATACCCAAAGGTTTATAAATCATGCTACTATAAAGATACATGCACACATATGTTTATTGCAGCACTATTCACAATAGTAAAGACTTGGAACGAACCCAAATGTCCATCAATGATAGACTGGATTAAGAAAATGTGGCACATATACACCATGGAATACTATGCAGCCATAAAAAAGGATGAGTTCATGACCTTTGCAGGGACATGGATGAAGCTGGAAACCATCATTCTAAGCAAACTATCACAAGGACAGAAAACCAAACACCGCATGTTCTCTCTCATAGGTGGGAGTTGAACAACGAGAACACATAGACACAAGGTGAGGAACATCACACACTGTTGGTGGGTGAGTGGCTGAGGGAGGGATAGCATTAGGAGAAATATATAATGTAAATGATGAGTTGATGGGTGCAGCAAACCAACATGGCATATATATACCAAATCATGGCACATATGTAACAAATCTGCACGTTATGCACATGTACCCTAGAACTTAAAGTATAATTTAAAAAAAAACATAAAAGAGAATTACAGAGTGGATAAAGAAATGTTATAATATGTGTACATATATAAACTATAACAAAGCTATATATAAAATGAAAAAACAGAACTTCTGAGCAGGAAAAGATCACCAATTCCACTTCTTTAGCTTGTAGCTAAGTATACTAGAGTGGCTGCAAGCTTGGGCGTTAGGTAGAAACTCAGCCCCATCACATATTAGCTTTTGACCATGAGAAAGTTATTTCATCTCTTTCAGACTAAGACTCACTTCCTAGTCTCATTTTAAAAGGGGGGATATAGTGATACCATATCGTAGGTCTTTTATGAAGGTTAAATAAGATGATAATATATTCTATGTCAACTATTTCTTTAATCATAGGAGGTACATTTATGATTTCTGAAATCTGGAATAATTTTTTTTATTTTAACACTTTTAAAAAAGTGAATGCATCCATGCAGAAGAATAACTGTCACTGCCAGGCATTTACAGTATCTGTTGATCCAACTGTCACTTCAATTGAGGTGTTCATTTGTTTGTTGGGGTTATTTGTTGTACCACCGAATTTTTTCCAAAGATTGCATCCTGTGTACTTCCTAAAAATGATTTCAAAAACATTACACCACTATAAAGCTTGAGGGAAGAAAGTGATTGTGTGAAAATTATTCTAAAGCTAGGAGTTGTTGGTATGTCTACTTTATATGTGGTGAAAGCCTGTCACAAAGCATTGAACATCTATTTAAGCAAAAGCTTCCAACTGACTTTCAAGGGATGTTTACTGTCCAAGAAGACACAGTTCCATTAAGGAAAAAATGAAACCACAAGTTAACTAAATGGCAATGCCAAGAAAGCCCAAGTGCTTTTTGATATGCCTTATTGCAATAGTAGAGGTGCTTTAAAAGTCATAATCCCAAAAACTGATATCACAGAGTTGTGGCTTTTTGGAGAGGAATTACTTTTGACTAGCTGTAGTCATGCCCAATACTCCAGTACTGGTCAAAAGTAAATCCCCCCTCAAAAAAATCTTTAGGTTATTGATTGTGTGACCTAGATATAAACTCTGGATGAAATGCACTGAAGGAAAAAAAATAGGTCTATTGTTGTAGCGTTTCTTCCTTTCTTTTTCTTTCTTTTTTCCTTGTTATTCCAAAAGTTGCTATTACATTAATGGTAAATTACTGGCTATTTGGCGGTCATAGCATGGGAGATAAGCAGTTGCCGGTGATCAATCCACTCCAACATTCCTATTCTCCCAAGTCTTTGGACTCTTTTCTTTACATTTTGGCAAGAAATTTTGGCCATCAACTTCATTCAATGTAGGCCACATAGGTTTCAATCGGCCAACCAGCAGACAGGTTAGACCACTTCCAGCTGCTTAAGACAGTACACGTAATTCATAGAAATAAATTCAGCTCTATTTAAATTGTGTTTCCCCTTCCTCTCCCCAGTCTAGGCACTCAGAATTCATATTTACATATATTCTCAAGTCTCATAAATTTGTAAAATTTTATAAATGCAGGTGGGCATCATCCCACCTGTTGAGGGCCTGAACAGAACAAAAAGGCAGAGGAAAATAAAAAATAAGATATATATATATGATATATATAAGAGATATATATAAGATATATATAAGAGATATATATAAGATATATATAAGATATTTATAAGATATTTATAAGATATACATATGAGATATATATATGTGTGTATATATATATCATATATACATGTATCCTATTGGTTCTGTTTCTCTGGTGACTAACGTAAATGGCTTTCTCTGTTGCCTTATAATAATGGTGGTTATCAAGGAAATAATTAGAAGCCAAGACCCAAAGAAGCAGAATGATCTGACCCAGGTGACACAGAGAGTTAATGGTAAACCCAAGCACTGTACAGCTGGCAGATACGGATGTTGTCATTGCCCAGGCCCAGTGACAGAGGTGATTCTCCCAGCTACCTGTGAGGTAGACTGACCTCTCGTCTCCAACCTCTAGTCTCCAACTGGAAAATATTCGTTATACTTCTCCAACTTTTATTTTTATTGCTAAATCTTTTCACTCTCAAGGCTATTTCAATGTCAACTTATGACTGATTCAATGCAATTTACTTTTATTTTTTAAAATACCTTGAGAACTCCATATAAGTTAGAAACTATGCTAGGCATAGGTAGCAAACAGGACAGACAAATCACTACTAACAAACAAGATTCCATCACATTGCAAATTGTTTCTAGACTTCAAACCCCTCCAGGTTTATTACATTGTTTTTTAGCAGGAGGTTTTATTTTTTTAAGTTTGGAAAGAAAAAAACAAAAATTATGGTTTAGCCCTATATATAATTTTCATTTTTCCACCCCTCTGTACTTACTTACTAGTTGCTTACAGGTCAGAAAAAAATCATGCATCTTGGTTTACATTAAAAGGGACAATTTAGTGAATAAGTATTTATTAAAATCTCCCCAAATTTCAAATACAATTGATTCTTGTTATTCATGATAATTATGTTCTATAAAGTCACTACAAACACTGAATTCACAAATGCTGAACCATTACTCTTAGGAGAAATTGATGGTTCAATTCCTGCAAGCCTCTAGTCACAACATTTTTGTCAACCAATCAAAACATAACGTTGTTTTATGTGTGTTTCAGTATAAGGACACCTTTTAAAATACATATTGTTGACTTATTAACATAGAAATCATGGCCAACATGTCTGAACAAGGCTTATCTAACACATATTTCTTCCGTAAGACACATCACAGCCTTCTTGCACTTAGGAACACTAGGCGGCACTCCAGTTGTCTATGCTTGGGGATCATTCCAAATCACCAAAGAAAAGCAAAAGAAAAACCACAAAAAACATGACACTAAATACACCAAGTGAAAACACACGTTTATAGTAGGAAAGCTGAATCAAGAAGGCAGAACATCACTTGCTTAAGCCTCAGCTGGGAACATGTGAATGGGCCAACCAAAATTTTCACCATTCTGTACATGTCTATGAATGACTACAAAAGTACCACAAGTATTGATTGGAGGAGGGGAGTTACAAATAAATTTTAGCAAGTAGGAAAATTATCAAAATTGAATCCATGAATATTGAAGGTCAGCTGTACCTGTCCTAGAAGAAAGGAAAGTGTAACCTCATCCTGATTTTTAATAACTTCTTATAACACCAAGATATAGTTAATAAATGCTTAAGAATTAATGAAGAACACTTGCTGATGGGGCATTAAAATGACAACAAAATGCACAGCTAAGAAAATGTAAGTTCATTCCTTCTTATGAATGGCCTAGTACACAATCACAATCATAAATATTTGTTGAATGAATGGAATTGGGAACACTGCTCCTCTTGCCCCTTTGCCCGTAGAATATGAAGTTCATTATAAGGCTGGTGAACTTGGAATGTACAACAAAATCTCATTATTTGCAACCCCCGCCAGATTTGGAATTCATAAAATCAAGAAAAATCATCTGGATGAATTTTACATTTAGACTCAATTAGAAAGCAGTTTAGAAAATATCTTTAGTTGTAAAGGGAAAACCTTCAAAGCCATCTAGTAAACAGGAAAAACAAGTTTTCAAAAATATTTAGATGTGACAGTTAATGTATTTAAAATGCATATTCAATTAATCCTGACCTCATTTCAAAAGAACAACTTTTTTGAAATTTTTGTTAGTCTAGTTCTTTTTCTGTATGAGCTTTGAAAAAACAAGATATCATTTTCTAAAAAGTCATAATGAAAACTTTCTGCTGATTCAGATTTATTCACTAGCCTTTGACCTAAAAAAAGGCATTTTCCTTATAATCTGTGTGCTCTGACATTTGATGATTCTATTATTTTTCTAGATCACTGAGGTCAGTTTTACATTGACTATACATACCTACAATGAGTCTTCATCTTCTGCACAATGATCGCTTTCTCTTTATCTTTAGCCCCTGTTTGGGGTTGATTTTAGAGATATTTTCTCCTACTCCTTTTCTTCCTCCCTTTTCTCTTCCTTCTTTCTAAATTTGAGATTAGATCTAAAAGTACATATCCATTTTATTGCTAGTTTTAAAATAAGAATCTATAAGTTTTGAATTCAATACTTGTATTGAACTGATATTGTAATACCAATAGTTATGGTATTAATTCATATTAATAAAAACCACTTTCTTTCGATAGACACATACCTCATATGTCATCACAACAATCCAAAAAGGTAGGTGGTATTCTTATCTCCTCACTCTAAAGGTGAGAAATATGAGATTGGCATAGGAAGGTTAAAAAATTTGTTCTAGGCTTTCCAACTAGGAAGTAGAAGAACAGCCATAGGTTACAACAGTCTTGTATTTAACCATTAAACCATTCAGCCTCTGGCAGATACAAGACATGGGCATTAAAGGAATGCCTGACCCCAGTGCTTCATTAACATTCCTCCTACTAAGGAGATCATCATGATTTTATCTCCTCTTAACATATTACTTACAAGGTTGTTTAAGTCCTTTAAAATATTAAATATTTAATTAGTCCTATTACAGCATCTCCCTGAGGCAAATAGTTAGACTGTATAATTGTTATGTTGGTTAAAAAGAAGAGCAAAAGGAAGCTTGAGCATAAATTAACAATAATAAAACAGATCATTACATTTCATGCCTGGAGAATAACATGAATAACTCCCTTCAAGTAAAATTGTAAGGAGATCATTAAAATCAGTCTTTAGAGATGACCTTAGTCATTACACTTTAACTGGGTGTCCACACAATCAAAATGACCAGTCGATCCATTAAATATAAGGTTACCATTCTCATCCATTATTTCTCAAAGTGTCCACAAAGACTCCTGTATATAAGTCACCTGGAAGTTTTGTTTAAAATAGAGATTTTAGTATTTACATGAATTATTTTCTGTTTTTTAGCAAGCATTGCCAAGTGATTTTGGGGCAAAAGATCAACCAAATTTTTAAGGCTTTGTTCTTATTCATAATGAATATATATAAAACATTATTTCTGCTGAAATAATAGTTCAGAGTTTTATTCCCTGACCATCTGCAAACACATTGAGAGTTGAGACTCCATGCTTTAATCAGTAATTATTCCACTGTCTGGGAAAGAAACAAACAACACTGGGCCTCAAAATCGTTTAATGCCTAATGACCTTGTAGCTATAATCTTTAATCATCGTTAGCAATGCTAGGAAAGATACTTGAGATTTACGTTGTTTTTTAGAGGGCTTAAGACTAAGTCATGTGCTCTCAAAATCTGGTCTCCTCCATTATCTAATCAGAAGAGGTTTGCAACAGTGAGAGTTCCACTAAGAAGAGAAAAATGCTTTTCACAGTGGGATGTCAACATTCCTGCCAACATCCCTAATATTCTAAGCCTCTTTGAACCAATGGCAGAACATTTTATTACTTTAACACTCATCTGAAAATTCAAACTTACGGAGATCTAGCACTAGCCAAAAAAGCCCACTTCAAGTATATCTAATGCAAGAGGGAGGCTCAGTCTAAGCAAAATATTAAATTACACATATAGACAAGACTCTCAAACTCTTTTCACTGTATTTTGTTTCTGAGCATCAAAAAATAATATACTCCATCAAATTATTTTCATTCCCCCCAAAACCATTACATAAAATCTAAATTCAGTTATGACCTTAGCATTTATGGAAGACTGGCATGAGAAAGGTATATTTTTGTAACACTTTTCATTTTCTTTGCAAAAAAGCACTATATTATGTGTTATGCTACCTTATGAACTTTTAGAAAAAGAGACTTCTAATATACTTCTCTTAATATTCAGTCACAGGAAAACTTGTTTCTCTCCAGATGAACATGAATGATTCTATTCATCCCACTCTGAGAACTCGGCAGCCTCTTACATTTTCCTTTTGACTTCACAGCCTAGAAGATGAAAATTAAATTCGGTTTTCAACTGCAGCAACTAATTCATTTCATATGCATGATGTAAGTATGTTTCACCTTCTTAAACTTGTTTCTATAATTTTTCTTTTTATCTTGTCTGTTTTAAGTGAGCTTTATCACTGGAAGTCACTTCTAATGTTTTGAAAGGGTAGACAAGGAGAAAGTCAAAAAATTTTTTTAAGAATTAAGCAAGCAAAGGTAAATTTGGAGGAAAATGTGACAAGAAGATTACTCAGATACACGGAGAGATCAAACAGTTAGGACAGAATCAATTTTTCTTGTTTTATAACCACAAGGCTATTTAAACTGACAATAATACCACCAAAACAGATCACTAAGAAATGTCACAGAAGACAGCATCCGACATGACTCTTGTTAGACTAGCTCAAAGCCGATGTGAAAGCAGAACAGCTGAAGGATAATGAAATACAGTCTAGCTTGTAATTAAGTAAAAATCATAAAGGCCCAGAGACCAAAAAGCATCTCAAATGGAATTTTTTCAGTACCTTGTATTTAACTGCCTGAAACTATTTTTTAAGAACCATACTTGCAGTCTTAAACTTTAATGTGCATATAAGTCACCTGGGGAGCTCCTTAAAATGCAGATTCAATTTGGATCCCATAGTACTGGGGCTTGGGATTCTGCATTTTAGGTGACATGAGGCAGCTAGTTCAGGATAGCACTGTGGAGTGGCACCTTCAGAGCTAGATATGACCAAATCAAATCCCAGCTTTACTACTTAAAAGCTGTATGTCATTGGCCGAGTCCCTTAACATCTCAGACCTTCAGTTACCTTGTGGCAGGCCAGGTCTCACTAACAACTGTTTCAGTACTGACTGAGTGCTTAAGTTAAATATTAAAAGCCAGTGACCTTATACAAAGGCTGAGATATAACAAAAGCCTGTCAAGAGTTTTGCCTAGGCCTTTCCCGGGCCTTATATCATGACAAAATAACAAAAGAATTCTTAACAGGACCCATTTAGGATGAAACAAGTTTTACTGTGAGTCTGAAGAAACTCCCCAGGCTTCCACAAACAGGTTTATTGGGGGTCTGAAGGAACTCCTCAAACCTCCGTGATTTAGCAAGAGACAAGATAAGGGTAATCACCCCAGCACCTCAACCCATTTAGATTAAATAAATTTACTGAGCCTCCAGAGGAAGGTCTTCAGAAATCAGACCTTAGTTTTAGATTAAAAGAAGTTAATCACTTACGTCTTTAGATGAACGCACAACTACACGTAGACGTATAGCTTAGAAGGTATATAAGCTCTGAAAAACTGTAATTTTGAGTTGATCTGGTATAACTTCCAGGCCTTCTCCCTGTAACAAGTTACAGAAATAAAAACTCTCTTCCTCCCCAGTTCATCTGCATATCGTTATTGGGCCACAAGAAATAGCAGCCCGACCCTCAGTTTGGTCCGGGAACAACCTCATCATTTGCATGACAATGACAGTATCTACCGTGCACAGTCCTTGGAAGGACTTAAAAACCTCCTAAGGTTTTTGACCATGATAAAAGCGTGGTCAAATAATGCCCTACATAAATATTCTTTGTTTTGGCTGTCTTTGTTATAACAGAACATTGCCTTTGGATTTGGAATGTTATAATTTGGATGTAAGTAGAAAAATAAGCGAAATGAAAACCCAGATTATATGAAATGAATTTTAATGTTAAAGTCTGATGTGGATGTTTTTGTTTGTGCACATGTATGCATGTGTAAGTGAAGCTACACTTAAAAGTTTCACACCCTTTGTACTGATTACTATATAACCAAAATCTGTGATATTTTCCCTCATTTTTATCTAATAACCAAGAATCTTTATGTAAGGTAAAATGAACAAGGCCTGGAGAATAAATGAGAAAAAAAGGGGTTCACATTTGAAAGAAAAGACAGGCAGCAGAGGTAAGCAATCAAACAGTATTTTCAAACCTCTGGTTACTTTGCATGGCTGTTGAATCTAAATTCTCATGTTTAGTCTTAAAAAAAAAAGAGTAGTGGAAAACTAGCATAAAATGGGGCTTCTCACCTCAAATTCTTTGTAGGATCAGGGAAAGTGTAAACATTATATAAATAAATAAAATTTCTAAAATTCCACGAAACTATATTAATAGTTTAGGCAACTTAATTAAGAAATTTGTTAGTAATAACCAGAAAGCTGTTATGAAAAAAAGCTTTCTCACAGAACTCATGACAAATTTTTACTGGTTTTTCAATTGATTTTTGACATCAGGTTATATTCAGGGTCTAGGAAAACCTTCTTTTCTGTTTTAAAAAAATCAAGCCTTAGCCTAAAGTATAAAGAAACCTTGGAGAGTTTCATTCTAGTATGCAGAAATGGTGGTATTTTGCTATACCTAAACTATGATGAAATCTCTGAAACTGCATAGCCAGAAGCAAAACCTTCAGGAGACTAGTAACACTTTAACATTTCCAGTTCACATGTGAATGTTAATTCTACTCTCTGAAGAGTACCACCAAAATGGCATTCATTAAGATTAAAGCCATACTACTATAGAATGGGAAATTTATATGTACGCTTCCTATAAAATGCAAATATTACCAAAGAATGGGTCTCCACTGAGTTCTTTCTATATCTATTCCTTTGCAAAGTTAAATCACACTGGTGAAGCTCTTTCATGAAGGCAATATAAAATTCTTAAGTAGCAGGCACTTGCCGCTCTGGTGCCAAGGTAGCCCCTTAGGTTGTTGACAATTACCTGTACCCCTGATGAATGCCCACTCTTAAAGCAAGCACAAGGCCCTGGTAATAGGGGAAGACAGGAGATGTTTTAGAATTTCAGAGCCTGGTAAAATGGAAGCGGCTTCTGCAAAACGAAACTTCTGATTGGGGTTGTCTTGCCCTTGGATCAAACGTCTTACCTGGTTAAGTCCCTTGAAGAATGTGATTTGCAATGGCTTTTTTCCATGATTTGAGAAAAAAAAAAAGTGTTACATAAAAACCAGAAAATGATAGAGCTGTATTTTTCTCACTGTTTTTTAAAGTAATATTTGTAACCGGTTTTCTGATAAACTACTGTACAAGAAAAATAATTTTTTTTCCTCTGTACTCTCACAATACTTCTGACACCAAATATGTGGGGTTTTTTTCCACACCAAGCAATTCTCTAACTACCCAAACGTCAGCTGGGTGTCCTGCAATTCAATTCAGTACTGACACTATCTACTTGGAGTTAGCATCAAATCCCACATTAAAGGCTCAGTTCCACAAGACTGCCTCCCACTTCGGATACCAAATGCAAGTTCAGGCCTCTAGCACTTCTGACCAACTGGCTATAAATCAGTGGTTACCATGACCACCCTCCTCAGGTTTCATCATTTGTTAGGACTCACAGAATTCAGAGAAACACTTGTTTATGCTTACTTGTGAGACAGACAGGTGGGAAGGGCTTCCTGGAAAAACTGCAGCTGGCCTGCACACTAGGCTGGAACCACGGAAGTTAGTGCCCTTTTCATAGGGGAGGAGCCCGGCCCCTCCTCTTCCTGTGTGGAATCTGGGATTCAACCTGCGAGGCGGGAAGCCCACAGGCAGGAAGCACACTCTCACTTCGCTAAGAGTCTGTTTCCCCTTTTTGCCCAATAAATCCCATTTTTCTCACTCTTCGAATCATCTGTGAGCCTAAATTTTCGTGGCTGTGTGATAACGACCCCCATCTTTAGCTGAACTAAGGAAAAGCCCTGCAACATTTATTATATAATAAAGGATATGATAAAGGGTACAACCAGCCACATGAATAGTTACATAGGATGAATTACTACTGCAGGGGTTTCTGTCCCCATGGAGTTGGGGTGCATCCACCTCCCAGCACATGAATGTGTTAATTAACCCAGAGGCTCTCCAAACCTTGTCTTTAAGGGTTTGTTATGGAGGCTTGAACACATAGGCACAATCTATCATTAACTCAATCTCCAGCCCCCATCTCCTTTCTGGAGAATGTGAAAGTGGGGCTGAAAGTTCCCAGCTTCTAATCATAGCTTGGTCTTTCTGGTGACCAACCCCAACCCTGAAGCTATCTAGGAACCCACCAAGAGTCACCTCACTAGAACAAAAGACACTTCTATCACCCAGAAAATTCCACAGGATTTAGGAATTCTGAATCAGGAACTGGGGTCAAAGACCAAATATTAGAACAAAAGATGCTCTTAACACTCCTATCTCTTAGGAAATTACAAGGGTTTAATGAACTCTGTGCCAGGAAATGGGGACAAAGACCAAATTTAAATTTCTTATATCACAATATTGCAACTACAATATTCAAGTTTTACACATAAGGAAACTGAGGCACAAGGTAGCTGAAGAGCCTCCATGAGGCCTTACAATGCAATTTGATTCCAGTCTGACTGCTGAGACACTTCTCTCAAACACTACACTCTACTGCCTCTCATTCACTATAGTATTCCTCAGTGTCTGTCACATATCAGTGCTCAATAAATATAAGTGAAATGAATGAGACATTTCATAACCCCTGTAGCCGTCACCTACTAGAAGTGAGGTCTTTGAGGGGAGACACTGTCTTATTCATTTTGTCCTAATCCCCAGTACCTAGCATAATGCCATAGGGTGGATGCTCAAAAGTTGTTTGATGGATGAAAAATGAATAAATGTGTAAATACAGACTCAGATAGCTATAGGTAATATAAACCAGAAGTGGACAAATCACATGGTAAAATAGGAAAGAGTGGGTATAGTTCTCCATCTTCTCGCAATTCCATGTAGTGGTCTAGAATAATGAACGCAATGATCAATTGTATTATTTAGTTTCTCTTATCAAGCTGTTAGTAGGATACAGAATAGAATTGTGAATTCTTGTTTGCAAAAATCCCCCGTTTTTATGATGTATATAATAATGGGTCCCAGAAGAAGAGCTATATTAAAAAACAAAATGAAGACAAGAAAATAACCATATCAAAGATGAATAAAAACTTAGATACACAAGCAGTGCTTCTGTCCAGTAAAGTAGTCTTGGTAGCAGAGGAAAGTAAATACTTTCCCCTGGAGCATAGCAAAAAGCAGCCTGCCACAGCACAAAATTTCATGGAGGTCTCTTTTTTTAATCTTAAAAATTCATCTTTATTTTCATTCTGAGGTATCTCAATTTTTGATTTACCACAAAAATAATGTTTGATTACTTACCATTATGTAAAATGAAAAGACCACCATCTTTTCCTTTAGCATTCAGTACTGTGGAATATGTTAGCCTATTTGAGAAATCAGGGACCATAGCATCTGGCAAAGACTTTCATTTAGAAGCCTAAATATTTAGAAGCACCTTACAAATTCATTAAGTGAGATATAGAGAACCCAAATAAGCATAATGAAATTAGGTTAATTTGGCATGAGAAATAGTATCTGTGCATTCAGCAAATATACTTCCTTAATAACCGTACTGAACAACCATATATAAAGGTAAACAAATACTAAAGCTAGCTATGATAGCTATTACTCAGGCTCAGAAATATTTGTTTCTCCTATGCAACCTGGGTAGATTAAACTTCCCTGGGTCCCTGAATCTGGCCATGGTGTGTTATTTGTGAGGTGAATAGAATGTTACTGGAAGTCACCTGTGTCAATTCCATGTGAAAGCATTAGAGTTAACATGCAATTTACCATGTTCTCTTTTCCCCACCACACTGACTAATAAGGCTATCTGTTCCAAAAAGTGCAGTTCCAGGATAATGCCACCTTCCCCAGCTGGATTGCTGAGTTGTCACACAGAGGCAGTTGTATGGGAGAGTTACTCTGAAGAAGAAATAAACTTTCGCTACGTTAAAGCCACTGAGTTGTTGTTACTGCAGCAGAACCTAACCTATCCTGGCTAACACCATCCCAGGTGTTAAACTCAAATAGACCAAGCTACATAAACATTAGATATCCCTATCTTATTTGTGCTTTATTAGTCCAGAGCTACAAGCAACATTCTATAGGCAATATGGTTATTTGTACTCTCTGCCTAACAGCTTTGGCTAAATTTATTCATGAACTGTTCTTTAAAAAAATAAATCTGCCAAAGTGGTTATTCAGCAGTATGTAAACAGTCAATTGGTGCTTTTCTTTTAAAACCGCTTTCACTGGTTGTAAAGAGAAAAACACGTAGCAGACTATAAAGTTCTCTACTGACATAGATAATATTGGTGAATATGCTACATTAAATACTAAAACTATCAGCAAATTACACCATGAAGCAAATACAAACCACCAAAAAATTTACAATAAATTCTTTTAATTATTAACTTTTAGTTATTCATTAACTTTTAAAATTCTGATGTCATATTATTTAACATCTCAACCAATTTTGGAAGTTATACAAACTTTTTTTTTTTTTTTTACTAGGCTCTATCCATCTGTGCCAGGGTTTCTTAACCTTTGCACTATTAACATTTCAGACTTGATGGTTTTCACTGTGGTAAGGGACTGTCCTGTGCATCCCTGCCCTCTGTACACTAGATGTCAGTAGCACTTCTGCAATTGTGACAATCAAAAATATCTCCAAACATTGACAAACGTCTAGTGGGGAGGGAGGACGTATCACAAAATTACCCCCAATTGAAAACTACTAACCTATTCCAGAGGTCCACAAAAAATAAAATATGAATTTCATCTGACAGCTCTATTGCTGCCTTACTGAAGTGATTTACAATAGTACATAGAGGTGATATAACAGGACTTTACTTTCATTATTGCACAAAGAAAACACAGTAAGTACCAAAACTTAGATAATAAAAATTTGCAAAACTAACAAAATAATTACTAGAAATCCCATCTCGATTAGCATGTTTATAGGCATGTCTTTCTGGATTCATTCATTCAACAGCTAGTTATTGAATAACTGCTTCATGTTGGGCACTGTGTATATACCAGAGATAAGAGTGTTAAGCCAGACAGACAAGATTCCAGCCTTCCTGGAGCTTACAGCCTCATGGGAGAAACAGATTCAGAGCCTTAAATATCAATTGCAAATGAAGATGTGTCATAAAGAAAAGTGCAGGTGCCTATGATACCACAGCACTGGGACTGGTTTAAGTGTGGCATCTTTGAAGAACTGTCGTCTTAATTGAATAGAAAGCTATGTCTAACTAGTTGGCACTCAAGTAGTACTTACTAACCACCAGGCATTTTTCTCACATTCTATTTTTTAAAACTCATTTAATCCTCTCAACAACTGCATGAGATAACTATAATTATTACTAAAATAATTAATTTAGTAATTATTTCTGAAATAAAATAACTGAAAATGAATACAGAGAGACCAGGTGCCTTTTCCTAGATCACAAAGCTAGTGTGTGGAAGAGGCAAAATTTGAACTGGTTCATGTTCCTAAGGACTAACCCATCAGCCTTCCACCCCCAACATGAGCCAATCCCAGCAGAAGGAGGCAGTGTTGTCCTGTCCTGTTCACTTTGTCCACAGGCTGGCAGAGAGTGTGTTTCTCTGTTTCCCTGGCAAGGAGGAGTGACCTTCCAGTCACCGAGGAGAGAGTACTGAAATCCACCTCATTATATATTTATGGTAGTTTCCTAGTTAAATGCAGCCTCCTCCTTAAATTCTTTCTTGGGAGGAGATGAGGTATGCATTATTTATAAATTATTTAATTATTGTGGGAATTAAGCAACAGAACACTCTGACACTATAATTGAAGAGAGGTAGAAGGTTCCAAAAGGCTGAATTCACAACAGCAAATTGTTCAAATACATATTTTTGATTAGTCAGGAGTTTCGACAGAATTTCCAGGCTAACAAGCTAATATGCTCTCATCTGAAATGAATACTTTCATTCAGCATCTATATGTTGTACGTGTGTGTTTGCAAGGAGCTGAAGTGAAATCTCCTCATGAGAATTATTTCTAATATCCTAAATGATCTAAATCACACACTAGCTATGGTGATAATGATTAATCATATAAGTCTTATACATTATATAAGTATGATAAAAAGGATTTCAATACTCCTGAATATGTTCTTTTTATTGCTGTTCTTTTTTTGAGGTACTGTTGGTTTGATTTTTACATGACCATATTATATAGAAATTCTAAATGTTTCTAAAGGGAATAATGAAGTGACTTTTGATTTTTAACTCACTTCCTATAAGGATGATGCCTCTTTTCAGAATTTATGATGTATATAATTATCTCAGTTGGTTAGAATGGCTTTGATCCACATGTCACTTTGCCCTGTGGACATAGCTGCTTTGGGTCCCTCAACATAATCTATTATCAAATTTTTAAAAAGACCCAAAGACATTAGGGACTAACAATTTTATCTTCTTATGTGATGCACCTTTCAGACAGCAAAATCACAGGGAGTGGGGTACTCTGATTAATTCCATATTCTAGATAATTGACAATTATCTAGGAAAGCCTTAGCATCTCATTTCTATAGGTGAAAATATTTGCAACATGTATCTGTACATGTTCGTGTTTTTGTAAGTAATACTTAAATGTCCGTGTGTGATGGTTAATTTTACACATATGTGTCAACTTGACTGGGCCACAGGATGCCAGATATCTGATTAAATATTATCTCTGGATGTATCTGTGAAGGTGTTTCAGAAAGATTCGCATTTGGATAGGTGGACTAAGTAAAGCAGATGACCCTCCCTAACGTGGGAGGGCTTCATCCCATCCATCCAGGTGTTGAGTAGAACAAAAAAGAGGAGAAATGTTGGATTTGCTCTCTCTGCCTAGCTTTTGAGCTGGGACATCAATCTTCTCCTGCCTTCAACACTCTTGGTTCTCAAACCTTGAGACTGGGGATAATATCTACACCATTGGTTCTCTGGCTCTCAGGTCTTTGAATTACATCACAGGCTTTCTTGGGTCTCCAGTTTGTAGACAGCAGATCTGGAACTACTTGACCTCCATAATTCACAAGAGGCAATACCCTATAATAAATGTCTTTATATGTGGTGTGTGTGTGTATGTGTGTGTGTGTGAAGGTTCTGGAGAATGGTGACTAATATACCATGTGGGAATGGATGATGGATGTCCCCATGATATGGGGACAAAGGATCATAGCATGGAAATTTAAGATAATTTTACAATATTGCAAATGGAAGTGTCAGAATAGCACAAGATTGAGTTGAATGTGTACACATCTCAGGATATTCACTGACAATTGCTTTAAAAAATACTAATGTCAATTTATTCTATTATCACTTGCCTCATTAATCAAAAAGTGAACTTCAAAAGAAAATGGGCTTGATTCTGTTCAACTGTTATGGCATGATGAACAACTGGGAGGCACAAAAAGAATTTGTTTGATAATTTAATTCCCATGATAGTTTTTTTTTTATTTCCCCCAACCAGAAAAAAAATCTTTACTTTCTATTACTATTGTTGTAATTATCAGCTGTTTTGAAAATCACACAATAATGTCTACTATAATTCTAATATTGTCTAATTGTATTATTGGTGATTTATCAGCCAATTAAGAAGAAGCAATACATTAGATTAAAAAGTGGTGTATGTGTATGTGTTCGTATTTTTAAACCACCTCACATGTGCTGCTTAAACCTAAGTCTTTTTGAAATTTTTGACAGGATTCTCTCTTGCCTTTATCCTTCTGAGTATTGTTTTTCTTTTTAAAGAAAAGGTATTGAGTAATTTTCCTGTAACTAACAAAAAATGTTAGTTCCCTTTTTACTATTGTTTTGTAACCATTTCCTACCTACATATTACAGAAGTGACTTTCCAACTCAAAGGGCATTGTCATGTTTATAATTACCCGCTTAATTCATAAAATACGATGTAGGCATTACATATTCTTTAGCCCAGTGGTTCTTAAAGTCTTGCCCCAGACTGCCAGCATCAGCACCACCTAAGAACTTGTTAAAGTACACATTTTCAGGCCCCATCCCATCCTGCTAATTCAGAAACTCTGGGGATGAGCCCAGCAATGTGCTACACCAAGTCCTCCAGGTGATTCTGATGCATCCTCAATTTTGAGAACCTCTGCTTTAGACTGAAGAATATTTTGAAAGTAAGGGGACTTACCCAAAGTTTTTCTTAGGTTGAGAGCTACCTTAAGACAGGTGCTCCCCACTTTCAATGTCCAGTTTCTACAGACTAACTCTCTGCTTTCTACTTTTTGAAACAACAGCATTGACCTCCCACCAATAAAATGGTCAGTGATTCCATTTAGTTTTATATTAAAACATTATAAATTCCTTCTAATTTCATACAGAAGGGATACCCAGATATTATCCAGAGTACCTGCTCTTATGGTGTGAATTTTCTCCAATAACCCTAGGATAACTTGGTCATTCCCCCACAGGTATATTCCCTGCAACTAACTCACTGTGGATGCCTCTGCTAGAACCACAGAAGGGCAGTGCTTCTGCCATACCTCAACCTGAGTTTCCTGGTTTGATCAGATTATTTTTAAATACTGCAAACTCATACATTTATTTTTCTCAAAAAGAAATACTAACATTTTACATTGCTTTATGCAAATAATATTGTTATTTCTTGAAAAAGGCAACTGATTTTCCTAACAAAATTGAGAAAGAGCAAAATGCTTTTTTGTATAAAATGAGCTGGAAATTGAGTCAGAAAAGAATTTCTGAAGGTTGCCATTTCAATAAATGTCAAATACTCAGAGTTATAAGCCAGCCAGCTAAGTGTTTTCCTTTCTTAACTGTTCTCCTCTTGCTTGCTAGTTGGAGAGACAGTGGAGGTGGGGAGAAGATGAACAGGCAGGATTCTAGGACTACTGAGAAGGAAAGGCATGAAATCAGGTGGATTTGGGAACTAGAAGGAGATTTATTAATGGCGAAGAGTTCATTATAAGACCAGAAGTAGGCAGGGACTTATCATGAAGGGCAAAGTGAGGATTAGTTCCTAAAAGTGGTCAAAAGCCATTAAAAGATTGTTAAGTCACTGAAATGATCACTCCAGCATTATAGAATGATCACTTTGCCAACAAGTGATAGAAGGATGGATTCTAGAGAGAAAATGTTGAAAACAATTGCCACAAGGAGAAAGGCGATAAGGACCAAAACTAAATAGCAGTGCCAGTGGAAACAGAAGAAAATGGATTCAATAGCTACATTGGAGGTAGAATAAACAGATCATCCATTCTACTATAGAACTCTACTTAAGAAATAACAACCATGTGCCTTACAGCCTGCTGTCAAGAGTCTCTGCACTAAAAAATTAAATATGCTTAAATTTTTAATTAAATCACTCCTGAACCCCACACACACACACACACACACACACAAATATATGCTTGGGAGGAAAGGGTACACTAACCCACTGTCAAACAAAACCAGACTGTGAAACCCAGTTTATACTCAACTAAAGAAGCACCACTCTACACACAAATGCATGTGCATGTGCACACATACACACACACACATACACATACACACATACACATACACACACATCATTAGAATGTGGCCTTAAAATTGAGTCTGTGCATACTGTGGTTTTGTCATTCTCTCTCATCCGCCAACCCCTACTTCCAATCTAGTCCATTCTATAGGTGATCTACTAGAATTGCTTTCTAAATTGCCCATGCCACCACAGCAAGCATAGATTTTCCAATTCCTTCCAATTTAACTTGAAAAATTCCATTATTACTTTGAGGCAAAGAACCTTCAGTGGACACCTTGTTTTTTCAATCCCTTTGGCTCTTGTCTCCACCCAAGGTTATGTCCTCCATCTTTCCAACTTTTCCATGTCTCCATTCTTCATCTAGCTGTTTGGAGGTTCCCTAGGTGAGGATGGGGCAGTTTCTCTCTATTTGTATTACTGTTCTACACTCCAATTTCTGAGTACTATTTGGGCAGCACTGATAATTGGTTTCCAAGACATGGTTACCATAGTAACACCATTAGATAGTATTATTTAAAAAACAGCAACAAATTAAAAGCCTTCTGTAAGAGAAACAGTGAAAAAAACAGGCAGAGTCCAGTCAAGAACCCAGTTTCTTTGCTGAGTAATTCCCCTCTCCTAAGGACACAATATATTTTAAAAAGCAAGCATTTTCCAAGAGAACATTTCACTGGTTTATTTACTTACTTCATTATGTATTTTTTAGCAGGAAAGGTTTCTGATTTTTTCCATCATTAGACTTTGGTGTGGAAGGAATTGTGTCTGTTCCCCATAATGTTGTTGCTAATCTCTCTGAGCATTCCATTGAGGTCAGCATTGAATTTTGCAGTCCTCAAATCTCTCAGAGAAATTTGTTGAGATTTCCACTATTTTACCTACTCTCTCAGGACCTCATGTACAGATATCCCACTGTGGTAAAAATAATGAAACCCATCAGTCCCCTGGTAGCTGATACTAGTAGCCAGGCTTATGCAAAACTAATTTCTTAAGTTGAAATTGTTTTACTGTATGAGTTATGGTATTATATAATGTAATATTTCTGTCTTGTTTCGATAAAAAATTGTTCCTATTCTTGGCAATTAAAAAAGTTTTATATTAAATTATGGAATTTTCATGGCTTTCAATTTCCTGCTTGCCAATGTTACAGAAAGCCCAATTTAAAATATAAATAAATAAGAGAGTGTTGCATTTTGTACAAGTAGATATTCAGTAATGATCTGAACCTTTTTTCCTTTTAACGTGTATGTCTTTTAAATGCACATGTGATGGATAGCTCCTGCATTTTCATAACATCTAGATTCCGAAGTTCTAAGCAGCAATCAAGGCTGCAGGAGCTGACCTACTGCAATTTTACTACCATGGCAAAATCAGCCCCCTTATTCTAAGCCACACATTTTCAAACGCAGTCTCAGCAGTATACCCTTTTTATGACTCCAGTTTATGCAACTTTTCCTTAGGACCTTAGTTCATCCATATATCTGAGATTCCTAAATTCAGCAAGCTATCAAGTAACAGCATTGCTTTCTTTTTCATCAGTAAAGTATGACTATAGAACAGACCATGAGGAATAAATTGGGGTCACAGAGACATGCCAGTCATGTATCCTCTATGACCTCCATTCAGAAGTTGTGAAAATGTGGAAGCAGACACTTGTACATTTAGAGATATGTACATTTAAAATGAAAAGGAAAAAGAAGAGTTCAAATCATTGCCAAACTAGGGTTCTTTGTGAGTGAAGGGCAAGCGGCCCTAATGAATGCCACAGACCAGGAGCTCACGTTTCACTGCAGAAATTAATAATGAGCCATTTCTAAACAGCACCTCCAAAGGGAATGATTCAAAAGAAGAAAACAAGACTGTATGCATTCTTTTACTCCTGCCAGAAACCCTGAGTCTTATAAATACACCCAGACTCCAGACTTCCAACGGGAACACAACTGAGATTCTCCCACTTAGAGAAAAATCAAACATGGCCATGTGGAAAGGATGAGAGAGAGCCTCCTAATCAGGAATCATAGCACTAGACAGGACTATTCAGGGGTAGAGACAAAGACTATTTTTCAAAAATGTCTTCCTTTGAGCAATTGTGTATTATCTCGGTTGTTATGTTGCCTGGAGCTATAAAACTAATGCACACCAACAAAAATCCTACATATATTGTGAGACTTTTGCATTTCTATCTTTATCCTTGACTAAACATTCAGCAGCAAGTGTCTGTCTGAGTAGAACACTGGGAATATGAGCAGAAGCCCATGATGCATGGTCTAGGGAACAGAAATGTACAGAAGAATTTAATTTAGTCCTTAATGCCAAATAGTTCCCCACCTCCCACATGAAGAACTCTCTGCTAAAATGTGGTTCGTGGGATACCATGGAGGGTTTCAAGGTGAAGGAGTTACTTATCAAACAGACAAGACAAGAATCCATTCAACCCAGTAATGTGAGAGCCTGGCTATTCACGAGAGCAAGTAACTCAATGTGTCATAATTTTCAAGGAGCTTATAAAATTCAATTCCATCTTTCGTCAAAGTGTAGTTACTAATGCTTGTCACCTAGATGGCCTACAGATGTGTCTTAAGGATTAAAAAGTCACTGAATTTAATTTACATATTTCTCTAAAAACAAGAACTCCTTCTGAAATTAACAGAGAATATAGCTTACTGAAAAAAAGTAGAGTTTTTCAGATACAGATAAATGTTAATCACATTAGCAAACCAAAGGAATTATTTATCTATTTAAGTTAAAATATCTGCCTTGGCCTCAATTTCATAGCACACATAGATATATAATTGGTTGGAATTTTTGATAGAGTAATTCAAATAATTGCTTCAGTTACCTACTATCTTTTATTGCTCATTTGCCCTAAAGGCTGGGAAGAACTTTAAAAATAATATAGCTACCTTTTAATTATTCATGGAAAAAGTATTAACAATGTGACAATCTTTTTTACTTTCAGACTTTTACTGCCAGGATTAAATAGAGAAATTAACAGAATAATTTGCCCACTACTCTTCTGCTGTATTTGTATTTGTGTTCTTTTGTTTATCATTTTAAACCAAAATATTGTATTACCCACTCCTACCTGATGAAATCGGTAGAGTTTGCCTTACAAATTTAGAAATTTGTATTTCTCTAAGAAATTACATTATCAAATTCCAGCATGAATTGGGAAGTATCTTAATGCTTGTCATCTAGATGGCCTACACATGTGTTTTATCCTACAGGATAAAAAAGGTACTGAATTTAATTTACATCTTTCTCTGAAAATGAGAGAGATCCTTCTGAAATTAACAGACATTATAGCTGAGTTGGTTTTCAGTTGGATGACCGGATTACTATGTATAAAGTTTTGAATTCCCACACATTTTGTTAAAGTCACTGATAACCAAATAAACTTAACAAACTTCTAAACACACATTAAGATGCCAGAAAAAATACCTGTGGATTATCCATGCAAATGCTACTTTTCCTCAGGGAAGACAATCCAAAATTGACTTAACTGTGTATGGATTGAATACATACTCTGCATGAAAGTCTAATACACTAAATGCTAAAACTTGTTTCCCATTTGAAATCTTTCCGGAAGAAGTAAATCATTGACTTACTCTGCACGAATAGAAAATTGAGTACACTAAACACTTATATTAGTCCCATTACCTTTCTTCAACTAGAAGACTTTTGTTTAATTTCATGAAACTATCCCACCTGACTCAACTATGGTTATAGTTTTGATAAATTGTGTTGTCATATTGCAATGAAAGGTTTATAATCAACAATTTTTTTTACTCTTAAAAAAATGAAGATTTTTATTCCATATTTATAGTAGCAGGTATGTATGTTTGCATCTGAGAACAAAAACTGAGCCAAATAAATAAATTTCCAGAATTGACAAATTAAATGATACATCTGTCCAGACATGGAAACAAATTGTTGAAAACAGTGTTATTTACTACAAAACCACATGCCTCACTTTGCAATGTCTGTACTTGAGGAAGAAAGAAAAAAATGGATGTATTAATTATACATAATGAATGACCTGACAATTTCTGGGTGTTATGATGAAGATGAAGTTTTGAAAGGTTTTCCTGGAGGTTTGCTTCATGCTTCAGGTAAATGTGTATTTCTTCATATTTTAGAATTTTTTTAACTTTTAAGAAATAGATATAGTTTCCATTATGTGTAACTTGCCCAGGTGCACTGAGAAGGCCTCACTGAGCTGGGCAAGAGTCAGAACTTCTGGTTCTCAGGAAGGGATCCCCAGTTCAGGTCAACAAGGCAGAAATACATTATGGCACATATGAATACATTTTGGCACATATGAATACATTTTGGCACATATGAATACACACACATGCACATACATACATATAAAGTGTGTATTCCTAACGTGTATTCCTACGTGTGTGTGTGTGTGTGTGTGTGTGTGTGTGTATGCATTTGTGTTGCTTTCAACATCCAAAAGTCAACTTCTGGATTTCTGCAAACAAAAATAGATATTCCCCATTTATTCATGTATACCTATGGTAACCTAATGATTCTGTTTCTCCTTATATTCTAGATAGTAGCTTGTGTCTTGTCAGTGTTTGATATTTCATTCAGAATAACATGAATAACACATTGCAATAATGTTAATGTGTACAGTAAAATTTTGACTACCTATGAGAAGGTGGATGGAAAACCAATAACCTCACATTTGAAAATGGCATTATCCTAAAAGCCCACTTCCAAACATTTTATCAATATTGACCTTTATTTTAAGATGCTTTGGGAATAGCAGCATTAAAAGACAATTACACCTATTTGTACATCTGCTGTTTTCAAGGCTGTAAATTCAAACTATTCCAAAGCTTTTTCAATAATCATACATACCAGGTATTTATACAATAAACCAGGCAATCTAAAATCCTTAAATCCTAAGCAATTTCCTTCTTCCTCCTTCTAGTTAAATAGAGAAATGAAAATACTGTCTCCTTCCTTGGGGTCTTGTCTCAAATTTCGGTAAGCACATCGTAACTATAGTGATGGGTGTTCCAGACAGAGATATAGCAATTGACAAAGACAAAGTAATCATTCTGAGTTATCATGGATACTGCAGATTGCCCCCAACATCCTGAAAGTAATTGACTAATAAAGTACATTATAATATACAAGACCCAACTCCCCCCCTTTTTTTTGCTGAAGTGGTTGTTCTGTTATATGTAATGCTAAAATAATCTTGACGTAAACTATGAGGTTGAGATTTCTTCCTTTTTCTTCCCTTAACCCAGAACACCACCTGCACAATTAATTTATCACCAATCACTACAGCTCTCAAAGAGAATGGCTCCAGGAAAACAGTAGGCCAATCGTATACCAGGTGCGCAGGCAGTATATTAACTTCTTTCTTTTGGCCCATCTCTCTCTCATTAATGCCTGAGAGCAGGAACCATGTCTTTCTTTGTTTTATGTCTGTAGTATCCAGCAGGGCAGCTGGCACCAAATTGGCATAAAATAACTGCAATTTCAATGAATGAATTTAAATCACTATTTATAGTAATATCTATTGAAACCTATGTAATATCTCAAGTCTTCAAAACCTAAGGAAACAGATATAGTTTCCATTATGTGTAACTTGCCCAGGTGCACTGAGAAGGCCTCATTGAGCTGGGCAAGAGTCAGAACTTCTGGTTCTCCGGAAGGGGTCCCCAGTTCAGGTCCACAAGGCACTGATCCTTTCACCAAGATGGGGAGAGGGCTAGAGGGGGAGGGCAGAAGCCAGTCAGCAGTGTGGCTAATTAGAGAAAAGGAGTCAGGCTGGCAGGACCAAGGGGAAGCAAACAGAAAAAGCAGAGAAGCTATAAATCTGCCTTTCTTCATGGTTCAGGACACCTGGCCCTCCTGCACAAATAAGTCAAAATCTACCTGTGCCCAACTTACCACCAGACCCTCAGCTGATAGAAAAATGCAAGTTAGCTCACTGCAACCTTAACATTATCAGTACCGCACATAGCCCTCTCCAGCACCAGCACCATCCTATAAATCCCCTTGCTTTTGTCTCCTTGCAGTCAGCTCCTCTCTTGCTGACTGTATCCTTAAAATGTATTTTTGTACTTTCTCCAATAAATCTGCCTTTCTTTACCTACAACTGTCTTGGTAAATTCCTTTACCGCCCACACCACTGGTCCTAGCTAGTTACTATCCACAACTGTTGTACAGTGCAAAGAGCAACAGGACATTCCGCCAAGTACAGCCGGCCCAGGAGAGGCTCTTGATCTGGAAAGTCCCACACCCACCCCAAGACGTGCCTATAACTACGTCACCTGGAGACTGAGCAGAGAAGAAAGCCCAGGTTTTTGTTTCTTCACTCCCCCGGGCACAGGGAACAGGGTCCAAGTTATATATTGATTTTTAGATCTGCTGCCCTTTCTGGGTAAGAATCAGAAGTGTATACGTTTTTTCTATTCTTTATCAGGTAAAAAGGTGAGTACCTAGGAAAAATACGTAAAGCTCTACTTTATTTGTCTTCTAACATCACTATCCATGTGTCTCCCAGTTAGTTTATGAGTGAAAGTTCATTGAGAATGAAAAAATTTGCCCAAAATATAAAAAGATGAGGATGGTGGGATTTACAAAAAAGAAAAAATTCACTTCTCAACGCTTACTGCAATTATACTGGTTTAACATGTCATATTGTTCCCAAGAGGCCTGCATTTACATAACTAAAACACACTTCCTTTCAATTTGTTACAAACAAAATACTCAAAATATCACTTTCTGTGACATCTCTATGATTCCTTTGGTAGGTACATGTTTAGGTCACCAATTTTAACCAGAATCTGGTAGCATAAGGCTCTGTCCCAGGCATCAGAAAAAAACACATCTTTTATCTTCTCTTTGAAAATCAACTATTGACAAGATTGTTTATGCTTTTAAAAGCACTAGAATCTGCTGAGGAGCTGTGCCACAAGGGTGTGCATAAATGACACCTCTGAGCTTCCTGCCTGTCAGAACTTAGTAATCTCCTCCTCCTGCCCCGTCACTCCCATGCATTTTGTCAGAAAGAGACAGAGAATCAGGTACAGTCTCTCATTTAAACAGCAAGGTGTAAAAAGCTCTTAGGAGGCCAGGCACGGTGGCTCACTCCTGTAATCCCAGCACTTTGGGATGCTAAAGCAGGAGGATCACTTGAGGCCAGGAGTTTGAGACCAGGGTGGTCAACATAGGGAGACATTGTCTCTAAAATAAATAAATAAATAAACAAACAAAATGAATTTTTTTAAAAAATTAGCCAGGCATTGTGGTGCCACCTGTGGTCTCAGCTACTTGGGAAGTTGAGGCAGGAGAATCACTGGAGGCTGCAGTAAGCTATGATCAAACCACTGCACCCCAAGCCTGTGCAACAGAGTGAGACCTTGTCTTGAGAAAATAAAAAGCTCTTAGGATGCCTGCTCACTCCCCCGGATTCTAGTGATGTCTCACATTCCCACAACCTATGTTGTTCCACCTGAATAAGACAACCTAATTTGTATTAGTTCCTCATCAAGCTCAAAACCCGCCATTTAGGGGTACTTAGGAGCTCTGTGCCAAATGCTTTACCTAAACTTGATTTTCTAATCTTTACAACCACTTAATGAAGTAGGCGCTGTCGCTGTCGTTATCTCCAGACCATACAAACCTAAACTCAGAGAGTGTATGCATCTTGCCCAAGGACACACGGTAAGCGAGAGAGCTGGGATTCAAACCCAGAACGTTCTGAGCTCTCATCTGGACTGCAACCACTCTGCTCTCAGGCTGCTCCCTAACGCTCTCTCCACCCCCAAATAAAATCATTGCTTCAAAAACACTGAAAGGCCAATCTCACAAGAATGCTTTTCTTTTTAAAAATTGATTTGCTGTATTACACACTACTACGTGCTCTCTTATATTTAAGCAGTTATGTGTTTTTTTAAAGGGTACACACTGGATTAAAAATATGAGTTAGGCATTTATGTTGAGAGCATTATTAATAACTTCAGTTAATTGGTATTGCAACGCTGACTACTCCGTCTGAGGGCTATTAAATCACCAGAGGTCTGAACTGCATCCTTGGGAAGTCTGCGCCCCTCCCCGCAGCGTTCCTCCGCCATCTAGAGGCGCGGCTCTGAAGCGAAGTGTTCAGCGCTGAGCTCTGAAATGCATCCCTGAGCCACTAACCAGTTCTGAGGTTTTCAGTCTTCTTTTCTCTTCCTTTAAAAACAAAGTTGCTTTCTTCATAAATCTTCAAACAATGCTATCAAAGACCAATTGTATTAAATAAAATATGATGTTGGCATTTTTATGGTAATAAGTTTGAGAATGGCAATCATGAGAAAAAACAGCTCATTAAAGACCTCTATTGTTGGCATTTTAGGAATACCTGCGTACTGTCTACACACAGCGATCAATCACCAGATTATGAGAGCAGTGATTCATCTCTCCTTGAATTTGTCCAATATTTGAATATTCATCATATAAGTTGCTTGATGTTCTCAAACAGCAATAAGAAATAAATATTTCTCAAATACCAGTAAGAAAGTGAAACAGCAAGATCTAATTTCCTAACCTTTGCCTTATAAAAGAAAAATCAGAGGAAAAATTGCTAGTGGCATGTTATCTGATTGCTCATTGTAATAATAATGATAAGACAACTAACGTTTATTGAGTTTCTACTGTGTTTCTATAATCTTATGTATTCATACATTATTTCTAATCTCACAACAATTTGAAAATTATTAAAATCATTATGTGAGAAATAAACTGAGGCTCGGACAAATGATAAAATGGTAAATTGTAAGCGGTAACCGATGAAGCTGGCATTTAAAACAAAAACTTCAAATACCCGTTCTCTTTTCACTATTTCATGTTAGTTTGAAAATAATGAAGAGCTACTTATTTATCCAACGTGGCAAGTAGTAAGTTAATATTCATCTGAATATTTTGCATTAGAGATAACCAGTGAAATTATTTAACTCGTTTAAAATCTGTTTGAAAGTCATTGAGGCCGGGTGCAGTGACTCATGCATGTAATCCCAGCATTTTGAGAGACCAAGGCAGGTGGATTACTTGAGGTCAGGAGTTACACACCAGCCTGGCCAATATGGTGAAACCCCCTCTCTATTAAAAATGCGAAGAATTGGCCAGGCATGGTGTCTCACGCCTGTAATCCCAGCACTTTTTGATGCCAAGGCGGGTGGATTGCCTGAAATCAGAAGTTCAAGACCAACCTGGGCAACACGGTGAAACCCCGTCTCTACTAAAAAAATACAAAAAATTAGCCGGTTGTGGCAGTGTGTACCTGTAATCCCAGCTACTCGGGAAGCTGAGGCAGGAGAATTGCTAGAAGCCGGGAGGCAGAGGTTGCAGTGAGCCGAGATCGAGCCACTGCACTCCAGCCTGGGTGATACAGTGAGACTCCATCTCAAAAAATAATAATAATAAAAATAAAAAGGCAAAGAATTAGCTGGGCATGGTGATGCCCATCTGTAATTCCAGCTACTCAGGAGGCTGAGACAGGAGAATCACTCAAGCCCCAAAAGGTGGAGGTTGCAGTGAGCCGAGATGGCACCTCTGCCCTCCAGCCTGGGCAACAGAGCAAGCCTCCATCAAAAAAAAAAGAAACAAGAGAAGAAAAGAAAAGAAAAGAAAAGAGAGTTATTGAAAGAGGATAATTTTAAAATTGAGTTTACAATTTGACCTACTGCTATGACAGATGAAATTATTCAACCTGAAGAATACCCAAGGGTGAAGATAATAGAGAAGGTTAATAAAAGAAGGATATGGACAAAGCAGAGGTAAGCATGACTTGATAACATAATTTTGTAGGAGATTCTTAAGCATGTTTCAAAAAAATTCACCACCTCCAAGTTCGTAGGCAGCTAACCTCGTTCTAGATAAAGAGTTAAACCTGCATGCCAGTGGTCATGACCCTTCTTGGAGGAGCTCAATGGTCCTAAACAACATAGGCCAACATTGTAAAGTCTTCTTCTAATCCATTCTCTAGTTATTTTTGGCTTCTCCAGAATCTGTCTATTGTTCAGGCTTTCTACTGAGGTTTATATTTGGTGACATTTTATTCACTTAGATATATTTGAACAGAAATATGTCATAAATGTTGAATATTTAATGTCCTGGAAGATTTTTAATGCAAATGCTTACAAATAGTTATAATATATTCCTGTAGAAAATATATATACTGCTGCCTCAAGACAGAAAAAGGAATGATTATGAATACTTGGTGGGGTCGGCACAGAAGAGAGAAGGCACAGTTGCCTGCCACATGTAAGTGTGGATTCTGGGGTGTTTTTTTAATTGTAAAAGTAGCATATGGGCATTGTGTTCTTGGAATGTTAAAACTAGATGGGATGTAAATATCATCTATTCTAGTCAACATTATATTTTTCACAGATGAGAAAGCTGAGGCCCATAGAGATGAAAGGATTTGCTCAATACTCACAGCAAGATAATGACAGACCCAAGAATAGAACCACGTGTCCCAATTGCCAGTCTTGATCTTTAGTTGCACAATACGTGCTATACGTGCATATTTCTTCCTACTCACACACAATGTAGGTAAATCTGATGAATATCCAAATATGTGTCTTTGCTGGCTGTAGCAGAAATAGTTAGGTGCCTAGAGCAGTGCCTGGCACATAGTTGACACTCAGTGAATATTGCTTAAATGTTGAATGTCTACATGAACACATTCACTTGTTGACATCTACTCTAGCCATTACTGTAGAAGAGAAGGCAGTGGAGAGAATGATACTCGGAGGACAATTTTTGGCATAAATATCTTCCATTTTTTGTTTTTCATGTGATGGAAATTGAGGGAGAATTTCAGGTGTGCCATATGGAAAAGCATTATCCTTTAGTCATAATTCCAAAGAACTTAACGCAGGAAAGAGAAAACATTTGGCACCATAAATAAAGACAAATGATGTAATAAGACAGGTAGTCTTCGAATACGTAAATTATCAAAATACAAATTAGTAGTTTATAAAATTTAGTCATGCGATAGATAAATATTAGGCTCATTCTAAGAGAAATATAATAACATAGGTTAAGTACATTCTCTGAGCTGTGTCAACCTTGACATCTAGAGAGTCAGTAGTAGCTAGAGGGTCTTATGTGGGATCTTACCTTCTAAACAGCCCCCATATGACTTCATACTGCTTAAAATTATGAATGTTCAAGGAGCACATCTAACAGGAATTCAAAAGGCCCATTCAAAATTCAACCATAAATCTCAACCTCATCCATGAAAAGAGAAATGTGAATTAAAACCATACCATTTTTCCCCATTACATTGTGAGAATTTAAAATTGTGTTAACACTCTGTTGTCCACGCTGTGGGGAAATAGACATTCTTATATGTTGCTGCTCAGATTACACATATGGAGTGTATTTTTTCAATACCTATCAAAATGACAACTGCATCTACCCCTTGACCCTACAGTTTCACTTCTGTGAGTTTATCCTACATACATACTTGCACTCATGTAAAAAATAATAGTTAAATGTTTCTCATTGCTGATTGTTTATGATAATGAAAGAGTGGAAACAACTCAAGTGTCCATCTATAGGGGAATGGTTAAATAAATTATTGTACATTCATATAATTGAATGTCTATAAAAAAGAATAAGCCAGCTTCCTGTGGGCTACTCTGGAAAGATCCCCCAAGAAAAATTGCTAAGTGAAAAAAAGCCAGGTGTTGTACATGATGTACAACACATTCCCTTTTGTATAGGAAAGAGAAGAAAACAATATATCAGTATTTGTATATGCACTTTTTTAATTCTGGAAGGGCACATAAAACACTGACAACAGTGGTTAACTGTGGCTGGAGGAGGATAAGAAATGGGCAGATGCAGGACAAGAATGGGATGCAGGATTTTTCACTATGTAGCTTTTATTTCCACTGAATTTTGAAAAATTTGAACTCTCTTCAGCTTTAAAGGGGGAGGAGGGTGTGGTAACATACTAATAGGGATTTTGCCCGGGTGCTCAGAGTTAACATGGGGCAGTTCCACAGAGAGTCCTGGGCAGGCAAGTGGCTGTAAGTGTGAATGGGTATCCTGGAGGCCAGAGCAGCACAAAAAGAGGAGAGGCAGCAGCTATCCAAGTCAGACTGCTGCATTCACAGCTGAACCCGAGATTGACAGGAGAGAGGAAGATGACTGTAAATTGTAACTTTTGGATCCTCTGACTTCTAAAATGCATTTTGATATAGAATCTGGTTCTGGCTGAATTAAAACTCAACAGATCTTGAAAATATTTTTGCTTTTAATGGACTGCATACCTGCCCTAGGCAGATGACATGGTGGGGAGGTGCTTGTAAATACACATAAGAACTAAGGCAAACGGGTGTCTTCCCAAGAGCCAATGCACACATACTTTCATATATGCATAAAAGTTATAAATCCTAAGGCTAATATATTGTGAATTCACTTTTATTTTACTCTCGAGAAATAGAAATAGAAATAGAAATAACCTTACCAAAAACAAAAAATGAAAAATAAAACAGGATACATGATGATTTGTTGACAGGGGCATATTAACAATAATGATACTCTCAATGCTACACTTGGATACTATAAATAAGAAAATATGTGGACAAAAGGATGAATACATGATTCTCCACTGCAGCATTATTGTGCAGAGGCGTAATTTTACTCCCAAGCTCTTTGGCATAAATATTTAGGTACACCTAGAGATTTCCCAAAGCTATTGACAACCTGTTGCTCTCTAAATCTAAATGATATTTTCCTGTTTGAGATGAAGTCAATATGAGAATTACTCAGTTTATACTTTCGTTACTTTAACGATAATTTTAAAGATATGCCATTGAATTCTGTCTCCCTGAAAACAGAAAGGCTTTATAATCCCTGTTCCTCTAAATGTATCTGAATCATAGGCCTAGAAAGTTTACAAGAAGACATTTTTTCTGGCCACTATCTATCAGAGAGATGTATAGATATATAATATAGTCCTATTTGGGGGGAAATTTTCCCAGCAAAGAGATTTTTCCTACATTTTCCATAGGTGAATTCTGCCTTTAAAATTTAATAATGAATTAAACTGTGAAACCCAGGAAAGCTAGCCATGCACTGGTTCTCCACTGAGGACAATCTTGCCCCTCCCTTCACACCTGGATGTTTGGCAATGTCTGGGGATATTTTCGGTTATCACAGCTGGTAAAGTAGGGAGGTTGGTAGTGCTATAGGCATCTTGTGGACAGAGGCCAAGGATGCTTCTGAACATCCCACAGAGCACAGGACAGCACCCACAACAGAGAATTATCCAGCCCAAAATGTCAATAATGCCGAGGTTGAGAAGCTTGACCCTGTGTTATAAGATAGATAATTGTATTTACATTTTTCAGATTAAGTTTGGAATTCTGGCTAGAGCACACACATAAAGGATGCTTCTGTTATTATGTCCATTCCTAAGGTTAACAATTGTTTATATACTTCAGAAAGTGAAAATGAGATTGCATTTTTTTAATGTGCTTGATATAATGTGGTTTGCGTTTTACACTAGAAAGCACTTTCATTTGTTTACAATTCTGAGTCAAAGGATAATAATAGTCTTGGGAACAAAAAGGGAAAATAAAAACATGTTCAAAATTCACTAATTATTAATTAGTAAAATTATTAAGATTTATGAATTTTTTCTCTGCTACAAACTACAATCAGAATTGTCTTTAGTTGTGACATGTATATCAGAATTGCTTTACAATTTGATGTATTATGCCAGATCACATCCAAAACGTTAGCCAGGTCTATACATCCAAAGCATAATTAAATGAGTCAGTCATTTACATCCACAGTGGCTCACAGAATGATAAGAATCACAGGCCTAATTGACACATTTTCATACCATGGTTGCAGCCAAGCAGTGAAACTGTGATTAAACAAACTAACCAAATCTTTTGGACTCCAATCTCTCCACAATTACATAGATAGAAATTTTAGATTCATTTTAACCATCACCAAAATGTTACAGCTCCTTTTCAGATAATTTCTCTTACCAAAAAACCTTGACTTTTTAATCTAGGTCAAGTGGAGATAAAAAGTAAACAAACCAGTGACATGAGAATCCATTGACCTCTATTGCAGTGTACACTGGGGAATCTGGAATTTACTAAATGAATCCAGACTGGGGAAATAAATATGGGAAAACCTAGAACTTCAGACCTAATGTTTATGGAGCAATACTTTTGACCAAATAGTACACTCTAGTAACAGCATTTGATTATTTTCCAGAAAGAAGAGAAAGTAAAAATTCCATCTCAACATGCAATTTTCTAGCAAGGTAACTATACGATGAGTAAAAGTAGGCTTTCACAATAATGTGGAGACAGCCTATTTCAACTTAAATTTAAATGTGCTGTTGAGTTTGCATTAAGTTTCATGAATATGAATCATTTACAAAGTGACTTAAAATATGTCTGTGATCATGTGTGGGTTCAAAACAACTTTGTGTCCTTTGGATTTTGTGTGTCATATAAAATACTTTCATGCCTTTGGAAAAAGAAACCTTACATATACAGACAGTCTTTTCAAATTGGTAGAGACAACACAGACTCATTATTTTCCATTACTTCTTCAACTTTTAAAAATTGGTCCTGAGGGCCAGGCACAGTGGCTTAGGCCTGTAATCCCAGCACTTTGGGAGGCTGAGGTGGGCGGATCACTAAAGGTCAGGAGTTCGAGACCAACCTGGCCAACATTGTGAAACCCCATCTCTACTAAAAACACAAAAACTAGCCAGGCGTGGTGATAGATGCCTATAGTCACAGCTACTCAGGAGGCTGAGGCACGAGAATCGCTTGAGTGAGACTGTCTCAAAAAACAAAACATGATCCTGAGAATCAAAGCACATAAAGTTCAAAAACTAACTGGACATCTGTGCTGTAAGTCAACTGACAATTTAAGCATCGGACTAGACTCACAGAGCCTCCAAGCTCTGCTGGTGTTGCAAGGTTCTTGAAATGTCCCTCTCCTTCCAGTATGTGGAGTTCTGTCACTGTCACCAATTGGTATTATTTTTATCCCTGAAAGACAAAATTTCTTTCATGTCCTTCCCCTACAGCACAGACCTCATAAACTGCAGCTCAGAATATGTGAGCTGAATTTTTTAAGCTCTCAAAGAGTGAAGCGGAAGGGTCCAAATGTCAATTAAAGGGTCCAGTTGGAAACAGAATGATGCCCTGTGCCTTTTAGAGGTTGGCTGACAGAGATTTTCCAGGACCCCGGGTAAACTTTCCCTCACCTTTACAAGATTGATTAAACCATACTCATTTCTTATTGACGGAAAAAAGCAATTTTGAAGAACACTTATATTGACTCACTTTTTTTTCTGCAACTTATAATTTACAAATATCTTTCATTCAATCCTCCTAACAACCATATAAATTAAACATTATTTGTCATTACCAATATTAGTATTATTAATGTTATTTCTGTTGCTGAGAGGAGGCTCTAGCAAATTGACCAAAATAAGGACTTAATTTCAAAAGATCTGGAACTGCACTTTCTATATGATTTTTTCCATATGAATTCAAGCAAACTGCTTTCACCTCTTTGAGGATCTGCCTCCTTATCCATAAAGTTGGCCTAAAACAGACATGCCACAGAGTTACAGGAAGAACTAAACAATATACCATAAGTGAAAGTGTCCTCAACAGTGCTCACAACACTGTTTATGTAATCCTATTTTTAAAATGAGGTTAGTTGGTTTGGTTTGGTTCATAGTTTTTGAATGAGGCCATGATGACTCACAGAAAGGATTTGCCCAAGGTCTCACAGGCTAGTATGGTAGAGCAGAATGGAATCTAAGTTTTTGGAATAGGTGCTATATGGAGAACAACCAGACCCTTCCTATCCCTACCCTGCCCATCATGAGCAAAGCACTCATTCTTTCAGCTGCTGGTGGGATGGGTGACAGACAGCTCACAGATGCATCCCTCTCTGGGCATTGCCTTAGGCCTAAGGGAGCTGCATCCCCCAGAGTTGTGCATCCTCCCCAGGGTTGGGTGCTATCCCCCAACTAGTCAGTCACTGTAAGATATAGAGGCCTGCCTCCTTGCTTCAACTCTAGGTAATATTGAAAGGCCTTCCTAGTTCCAGAGATCCCTATAGGATCAGCTGAAGCATCTGTTGTAGTTCCATCATAGTTCAGTTTCTCCTTCTGCCCAGTCTTGCTTCCCTTACCTCTTGTAGGTGCTGATCCCCAGACCAATCCCCAGTAAACATCCTGCTCACAAATCTCCATCTCAGGGTTGCCCAGGAACCATACTTAAGACAGTCTCCTGACTCTAAATTCCATGTTCTTGGCACAACAGTACGTGTGAAAGCAGGGAAACATTTCTTGGTAATAAAACTATATCTGCCTGCCGACTTGTCAACCGATCTTTTAAGAATATAAAATAGAACCTGCCGTTTTAGATCATCGCAGGACAGCTTCAGGATCATGAAGGATCACAGAGTACAAAGCAAAATTAAACACCAATAATATGTTCTGCTGTTTATTTTGTGGGAGAAAATACAAAATGGGATAAAACTGCCCCCTGCTATCAAGGAGAGGGCACTCAAAATGCCTAGGATATCAACTCTCTATAGAGAAAGAGAGCAGAGAGACAAGGCAGCTGCATAGACACTGCTGCATTAGGGGTCTTAACTCCATCAAAGTGTACACACAAAGAATATTAGTTATTGGCCACAGAGTAGTCATGAGCCATCCCTAGAAGGTTGTCTGTACGTGATGTGTCTTGTTGTCGGGAACCACACCTCACCCACAGAGGTCTTCTCAGAGCAGTCGTGTTTCTACTATCATTACCTTCTTAAGGATGTTTGGGTTAAACTGAGCCAATCACATTCTTTCTGTCAACAATTTGGACTTTTAAATCAAAAGACCTAGAGATTGCTGGTCTCAATAATGTGAACTGCAGAAAAGGGACCACAACTGGCTGCTGCTGCAGCCCCAGAGCAACCCTGTCTCCCAAGACCTAGAAGCACCTCTTCCTTGGATTCTAAAAGACATACTATTTTCCAAGGAGTTTGGTAAAGCAATCTGAATTGGGATTCTCTTACTTGAAGTCCGAAGAAACTTAACTACTCCAAGTTCTCTGTGAAGTTTTGTATAAAGCCCCAGAAATCTTAATTATATCTTTGGCAGAGAGAGAATGTCTGCCTATGTAAACTGTTTCCCACATGCTAATGTTGCTAAAAGCAAAAGAAAGCTTGAAAAACCGACACCTGTCTCGATGCTGCAGGATAGGATGACAAAGGCAGAAATGGAAAAAAATCTACTTTAGCAACAGAAGGTTCTTAATAGGTCATGTCATTTCTTTCTTAAAAGCCTCCAATAGCTTCAAACCACATTTTAAATAAAATCTAGTCTTTACATTGGCAGAACCCTATATTACTTACCTTAGCTAACTCTTGGTCATCTCTGACCTCATCTCCTTCTACTCTCCTCTTCATTTACTCCATCCAGACACACTGGTCTCTTTATTCTTCTCAAGCACACTCCCACCTCAGGGCCTTTGCACTTACCGTTTCTTGATCCAGACATCAATATGTCCTACAGATACCTGCATGGCTTATTCTCTCTCGTCCTTCAGGTCTCTCTGCTCAAATGCCATCTTCTCGGAAAGGCCTTCCCTGACCTGTCATCTAGAAAACTAGCCCTGCTCTCTCTCTCTCTCTCACTCTCTCTCTCTCTCTTTATTCTCATATTCTTCTTAATTTTTCTTCATAGTACTTGTCACTACCTAACGTTACACATTATAACATGGGTTATATGTTACACCTAATATACATAGAAAACTTGCATATTTGCTAATTATCTATTCCTACTAGATTGTAATCTCCATTATGTTCATGAATTGGTATATTTTTGTTCATTGTAAAGTGACTAGCACATAGAAAGTTCTTAAATGATATTTATTAATTAGATGAATAAACAAATGATTAAAATCTAAGCACTTAGATATTTCATTTGGAGGGAGAGTATCAAGAGTGTGTGTTGAGGATTGTGGATGACTTTCTTTCACCCCTCATGTCCCTCAAGTTGAACAATAACAGCAGGCATAGCCCCCAGGAGAAGAGTCGTGGTAGGCTAAAGCCCACAAAGGGAGCAGCTCTTCCTTCTGATGTCATTTTAGCACGCATGTGCCATAGGACCAGGTAGTGAGCACCTTGAGCCTTTAAGAACAGGGAGAGTCTCTGAAAGATAGAAAGTCAGGTGGTTTTAATGGCTACAACCAGAGTAATGAGTTCTGGCAAGGGCAGTCTCAGGCTGGGGTGCGGGAGGGAGACGAGACTCGGGAAGGAGGGAAAGATGGCAGGCTTGCTAGCTCTATTGAAGCATCTGCCCTGAAAATGCAAATAGGTATGATCTCCTCAAGAGAAAAATATATCAAAAGTCTCAAAAATGTAGTACTTTTTGATGTAGTAATTTTATTTATGGGAATTTAAGACAATAATAATAGATGACTAGAAAGATTTCATTACAAGGATGTCGGCATTGTGTGTAATCATAATCATGAAAATTTGGAAATGACATATACGTCTAGTA
Source organism: Homo sapiens (assembly GCF_000001405.40). Taxonomy (NCBI): domain Eukaryota; kingdom Metazoa; phylum Chordata; class Mammalia; order Primates; family Hominidae; genus Homo; species Homo sapiens. Next base: position 88,334,953 of record NC_000007.14, on the reverse strand, counting down.
ATAGGGGCTGAGTAAAACAAGTCATGAACATCCATGCAGGGAGATACAATGAAACCATTAACATGATGTTAAAATATTTAGAGGTTTGAAAAGTAATTACAGTCCAGTTTTAAGTTTAAAATGTATTCTATCTTTTAAATATGGTATAATGCCAGTTAAGTTTAAAATAAATGTACATTTTTACTTTAAAAATTTTGGAAGGAAATTTAGTGATTATTTAGTTATTAAGTTGCCCTTAACTATTTGAAATACATATAGTTTTGATTATTTTATTGCTGTTATACCTTTACTCCAGAATCAGCTATAATGAATGCATATTACGTTTTAATAAAAATACTATATATTTTGAAACTATATGCCAAAGAAAATGTACTTTGTATGCCCCAGAAGATTGAAAAGAAAGCAACTATTCATTGCAATGACAGAGAATAATTTGTGTGATACTTCTTAGAGATATTGTCCTATCTTGCCACCTTGAAATGATAATAAATAACAACCACTCTTACAATGAAGCAGTGTCAGAGGGCTACAATGGGAAGCCAAAGTAATATTAATAGTCCCCAAAGTCGTACGTCAAGCAAATGCGAAAGTTCTCTAGAGAAAGATGCTGGTAGAATAAATAATCAAGAACAGGAGACTGTACCTCTGGTAAATAGTGCTCTTTGTGAAGTGGCATAAACAGAACAGGTTTTAGAAGCATTGATAATTTTAATCCCTACACTAATTTTTTACTTATGGTAATAAATATTTCAAGAGTTACATTATTAGGTTCATATAATCACCACATAGTTTGTGAAAAAAACAAAGATTTGGAAAAATTTGATTCACATAACCACATTTAAAATTATTTTGCTTGTATTAAAGGATTTATAAAATCAATATATCTGCAAGTTAATGAATATATCTGTCCTATAAGTGTATCTTCCTCTCTTTTATTTCTCACTATCCCAAGCTTTCCTGCTCCCCAATACACACACACACACACGCACACACACCATGATATCAAAAACAACTAGTATTTCTTTGCAACTTTACCTGGTAAATTTTCTGCTCTCTGGCAATCTAGTTACAATAACTCTGTTTTCTGTTTTTGCTACCTAGAAAAAAATCCAAAGGAAATTGTGTTTCATTGATTCATAAAACCACTGCTAAGCTTATAAACTTCTCTTTAAATTTCTCTCTAAATTTCTCTTTTTTCATTCAAATCACACTGAACATAAATTGGTTAGAGAAGAAGGGAATCATAGTGAAGCTCCATGGAAATAGCCACCTTTTCCTCATTCATTGCAAATAGGAATGTGATCAAATCTGCACTTCCACTTAAGCCTAGGAAGACAAATTTTCCCAGATCTAATGGCTTATAAAGGATTTTTACTATTGTGCTGGAGAAGAACAAAAGGCATACTTTACACTCTGATTTAGGGGAATTAGAGAGTATGACATTCTAGGAGAGAACATTCCAACCTGTGAGCTCGTCAAAGCTGACCACTGCAGAATTGTTCAAAGAGGAAGCCTGTTTTTGCTCTATTTCTTGTTCAGTGTCTCTTAACAGCTCACAATTTCTACCGAGAATTCTTAAGGAAAAAGACTTCAGTGAGTATAAAAAATAAAGACTATTTAGCTTGGGTCCCCCAAGAAACAGATCCTGAGGCAAGGATTTAAGTGAACATTTATTTGGGAGGTTCAGGAAACTCCAGTAGCAGAGTAGGAAAGAGATACAGGGAAAGGAAGGCAACCAATGGGGAGTAAGCTGGCAAGCAAATGTGTTGGTTAGTTTCTGCTGCATAACAAACCACTCCATCACTTACTGACTTTAAAAACAAACATGTATAGTCTCTCTCACTTTTGTGAGTCATCCAGATGGTTCTTCCTACCTGGACTGTCTCAGCTGATATCTACATTCAGCTGGACACTCTACCAGGTCTACTTGTCTTCAATGGCCAGGTGCATGTCTAATGGTTGGTCTAGGTGGCTTTAGTTGGAATAGCTGGTCTCTCAGTCTCCATCTCTCATCCTCCAACAGGCTAGCTTGGACTCCTTTAGGGGGCATTCTCAGGTTCCAGAAAACTAGCCCCAACATGCAAGCACTTTTCAAGCCTCTGATTGGGTCATATTTGCTAATCTCCCAATGAACAAAGCAAGTCCATCTGGATTCAAGGTTGAGGAAATGGACTCTATGTTTTGATGGGGCATCTGCAATATCACATGACAGGCAAGAGGAGAATTTGTGGTTAGTTTATAATTCACCAAAACCACCTGCCATACTGGGTTATTGGAATTTAATCTGGCAGGGAAATTATAAATTATATTTCAGAATTAATCCATCTAATCCTAGGAATGAGGAAACTGAGATATTTATATATGAGTCTTATTAGTGATTGAAGGACTGTTTCAAGATTGTTAACACCTGAGAAATTCTGGCCAACTGCACAGGAGCAGCCAGAGTGGTTCAGGAACAGACCTCAGGCACACCGATGCAGACATTGGCAGTTGGAAGTCTTCTGGAGCAACAAGAAATAATAAGTCCTGAGGATAATAATGAGGCCTTGTTTGTAAATGATACAACATTTACTATTCAAAATAATTCAGCCATCTAAGGCAGATCGCTTCAAATAGTTCATGTTAAATTCTAACTCTACTTTGTTTGATTTTTTAAGTCTTAAGACAGTAAAATGCCAGAAAAGTGGCATGCAATACCCCTTACCTGTTTTGTGGTTGAAAGAATGGCATAGTCACTCTCTGGACCCCATTATGCAGAGACTTGCCAATAGAAAACATCTAAATGAGACTTCAAACTAAAAATTAGCTTGTTTAATAAACACTATTCAATGTTCATGGATACTGTTTCTCTTCACATACAGGAAAATGAACTATAAGCTAGCCTAACTTTAGACAGTGGTCACACTGCATCTTTTTACCACACTGATGATTAAGGAACAAGGCAAATATTTTCTAAAATGGAATTATCAGAAAAGGACAGTGATAACATTATTTCAATCACTTGAACCAGATGTTACCAAAGACTCAAGTCTATAGTGTGATATTATAAATGTAAAATTTTTTTGTTTACAAAATACTTCTGTTTAGTATAGTGAAAGGTGGCATAGTGTAGTGGTCAAGGTCATGAACTCTGAAGTCAGATGCTTGGGTTGGAATCCCATCTGGCCACTTACCAGTTATGTCAACTTGGATAATTAAGATCTCAAGCCCTCCATTTTTCCATCTGTAAAATGGGGATGATAATGTTTCCTCTCCCAAAGAATTGTAGTAAGGATCAATACATATAATACTCTTAGAACAAAACTGGGCAATATGGTAAATACTAGCTATTTTTAGTAGTGAATTACCATTCCCACATACTGGCTCATGCTCTATTATTAGCTTGAGTTAACAAGAATTATTTGTAACCAGAAGTATGCTGAGAAAAAAGTATACAGATATACTTTAATTACATCCAGATGTTAGTTAATACCTTGGGGAAATTAGACTCTGTAAAAATTAGAAGCAAGTGGTTCCTGACCTCAGTGGATTTAAAGTTTTTTCTCAGTGACTCTTGGTAAAAAATAAATGTTCCATTGCACACAAACACCCACTTACAATACCCATATCCACACCCACACATACATACAACTAAGAAAGTTTCATGAAGCAGTACTCATGATGTTTTCTACTCTCTTCTATTTCAGTTTGTTAAAATGTTTGCAGTAATCTATTATTAATTTCACCATCATGACCTACAATTTTGAAAATACTATATAACCAATTCTTACAATGAGACAATTACTTGGGGGAAAAGATCTGCTCTTCTCATTTCCAGCCAATCTTAAGCTCAGTTCTGCCCTGTAGTACTAGCATCAAACTGTTACTGGATCTCTGGAGTGTCCAGTGTTGATTTTTCTAGCTGGAAACCTCTGTGTGGCCATGGTGCCTTTGCCCAAGTTCTTGTCCTGTGTCCAGGAAGAATGAAGTACACAGACAAGTGAAGGGTGAAGAACGACAGTTTTATTTAGTGTTGGAACAGCTCAGAGGAATGGGTAGCTCCTCTCTGTAGACAGATTGTCCAGTAGAGTGTTCAGCTCTCTGCAGAGAGGTGGCCCTGGAGGGTAGCTCCTCTCTGCAGGCAGGTCGCCTCTGCTAGTCCTCCCATCCTCTCTAGCTATCAGCAGAGAAGGCACTCCTCTCTGCACCTGGTCATCCTGTCCTGTCCTTTTTCTGCTGTCTTCATCCTCTGGCCATCCTCTGCCCTTCTCTGGCTGAGCCCAGTGCTTTTATGGGCCTCAGAGGGGAGGAAGTGCTCGGATTGGTCCATGAGTGGCCACAGGTGGGCCCAGAAGAGGCACCAGGAGTCCCCACTCTAGTCTGCAGGACTGGCAGCCTGGCTCCCAGCCTTCAGGCCCTCCCTAGCCTGAAGGTGGGGCCTTACTAGGGACCAGCCCCCTTCCAGCCAGGAATCAACCTGCCTCCTGCTGTCATTCATGGCCCCTGATATTGGCCCTGACTCCCGCTCCAAGATCGGAGCAGGTGCCTGGGGAGTGGAGAGAGGCCAGGCAGTGGGAGCAGACACCCTCAAGCTTGCAAGAAGTTGAGGGCCCTTCCTGGGGTCCCCGAGGGTGCAGGCTGCAGGCTGTAGCTGCACCCAGGAGCTCCTGCCCAGCCAACTTGGAAGGGGCAGTGCTCCCGAGCTTGTCCCAGACTCCTGCCTGCTTCCTGGAGTGGGAGGCCCAGGTCTGCAGCCACAGGTGAGGCAGCTGCAGCTGCACCAGGGAAGGCAGATCCTGCCTGTTCCCAACTCCCACAAGAGCACAGGGAGGCTCGATCCTCAGCTGCAGTCCCTCCTGGGTGGAGCTACTGCTTGCTCCCTAGAGCAGGAGGCCTGGGTCTGCAGCTGCAGTTTGGGTGGCTGCAGAAGCATGGGGAGCTCCCATCCCAATTCAGAAGGGGCAGGGCTCTCACTGGCTCCATGGAGTGTGCAGCCCCATCCATGATTCCCCGCCGCAGCCCATGGGCATCACGGCAGCAGCCACTGCCATCAAAACTCTGGCTTGGTATGAAGGGAAACAGAGACTCTTCCAGACCTTCTTGCATATTTCCAACTTCATTAGACTACCCTGATCTGTAATCCTGGTGTCAACTATTCACCATTCTCAGCACTTCTCTGACCATGCAAAACATGGGAAAGTAAAGGCCTCTCTATGACCTAAAGTTCTTCTGCCTATTATGGACATGGGAGACATGAGGTTATAGCAAGAAGGGGTCATTAAACCTCTGGGAGCTAAGAAGAGCCGAGCCCCAGAACAGAAATAACAACCCCTGCCCTTTTATCCAATTTGTGGCCAAAGCAGCACACAGCACAGCATCTGATTTAATCCTTGACAATTAAACATATTCCAAGGTTTTAGGAGTTGACATTTTGTACGGACATCAGATGCCAGGCCAGATTAAGTGTATTTGTATATAAATAGTACTTATAGCATGAAATCACTTGAAATATGGTGGACCTGCCTGTTCATCTTTTTCTACTCATGCCAAATGTATGTCTGTAAGTTCTACCTTTAGTCATGATTCCCATTTCTTATATTCCTTAAGGTAGCTCTACTCTTTGATTTTCATAATTGGTGGGTAGGACTTTCACCTCAAAAGACAGTACTAAATAAGAGTTCTGGAGATGGATGGTGGTGAAGGTTGTACAACAATGTGCGTGAACTTACTGCCATTCATCTGTACACTTAAAAACAATTAAAATGGTAAATTTGTTATGTGTATTTTGCCACAATTTAAAAACAAATTTTAAAAAGGTATTAAATAGAAGTTCTTTTAAATTCATACCTTCTCATTCTTCATCTGAACTTTTGGTTCATAAGCAAGTACCATATTTTATAGTTTGTTAAGTAAAATTTAGTTAGTTATTTAGATCTTTGAATCTGTTATTCATCACCACTTCCTGATTTTTGTGGTCACAGGGAATAACCAGAGAAAACAGAAATACCCTCTCAATCTCTTACTCAATGAAAGTTTCCATATGCCCCATCACCTTACCACTGGTAAAGTTCTCCATAATGAACATGTATCCATAAACAGACTGATATTTTTACTAATTCCAGAGTTGACATATTAAATTTTGTGGCAAAAATCTACCAATATACTCAAATTGGGTAGTTAAAAGTAATTTTAAAATATATTTTAGGGGAACAGCAGATACTGGGGCCTACTTGAGGGTGGAGGGTGGAAGGAAGTAGAGGATCAGAAAAAAATATACCTATTGGGTAATATGCTTAATATTAATACCTGGGTGGCAAAATAATCTGTACATCAAACACCCATGACACAAGTTTACCTATATAACAAACCTGAACATGTACCCCTGAACCTAAAATAAAAGTTAAAAGAAACAATATATCCCTTAAAATAATTAAATAAATACACTATTCCAGAAAATATGAAAATGAAAGATTTGCTCAACAATTTCTGCTTGGATATTCTGAAAAAACTAAAGAAAACAAGGACATTTGATTTGGGTGCCTCTGTTAAATGAGGCATATTTTGTAAGCAGGACCTTGAAGAAAACCAGGAGAGCAGTTCATTTAAAATGTGTCTCACATTGACCTTGTGAGCCATCCCTTCAGCATCTTTAATAAAAGAACACTGTAAATAAGTATGCTCCCGTATCCTTGAGTTTTGATGGCCTTAGAAGCCACTCAAGCTTCACCTTTGAGGCTAATGTGTCATCAGAATCCATTTCCAGTCATGTGTGGATAGTTTTGTTGCAGCTTCCAATTACCATAGTATATATGCTTCTCTCTCATGTTCATCTTATTCCCCAAAGCAAACACTCTACTTACTAAGCACAAAGTTACTTCATATAAGATTTACTTTAATTTTTTTTTAACTTTAGGCTTTTTTCCCAGTGCTTGAATAATGCATTTAGCATATCAGTCTTAATTCCAGACTTGAAATCTACCTCATCCAAACATAATCGCATGATAGCCACCCTTGTATTCTACCTCAGCCCTCTTGATTTCCCAAATAATTGATTATATAGGAAACACAGTATTACTTAAGGGATGAGGAAACACACTTAAAATTTAGGCTAACTACGTGAATACCTGTTTTTGTAATGAACTAACCTGGTTAAGCTAAAGGCATTAAAGAGGGCATATTTTGGCACTGTCCTCTTCTAGTACAAAAATGAATTTCTAGAGAAAAATGGCAAAAAAAAAAAGTATCAAGAATTCTGTAGTTCTGGTCTATAGTATACAATGACTGTACTACAAGTAGTTAAAGAGAGACAGTCAAATATACCTAGAATTTCAAGGACAAAGCAATGCAAACAGCCCTGCCTACATCATATTTTATGTAACTACCAATGATCAAATTACAATCAACATAAAGAAGTTAAAATTTTGCCAAAAGAGATTTTAGGATTAACATAAAAATCAAAAGATGAAGAAGATTTATGAGTGCACACCTCGAAGTGTAAACCTTTTTATAAATAAGGGAATCTCAGCTTTGGAGCCCTGGATTCTTTCATCTAGCTTTAGTTGGTTTCCCTTAGCTAAGGAAGTATAGCTTATCCAAAATGTTAGTGGCATTTTATTTGCTTTAAGTAAAGAATGATGAAATAGCCAACAAGGGTAAAATATATCAAATGTATTTCATCTCTTGGCCAATTCATATTCCTTTAATTTTTGGATACTCCTCCTGAAACCTTTTAGGCCCACATCCAGGAATCCTTTCCAAATGACTCCTATATATCAAATTCTTATTATTACTATAGTCTACTCTGCTTAATCTAGTGACTTCCAAGAACGATTGCTTTTTCAACTTCCAATTCTGACACTGATTATCACTACCACCTCCTCCCACTCAGTTTAAGAGGAAGAAATAGAACAGGATTAGAAAAGTAAGAAGAGGAAGGGAAAGGTAAAAACATGTGAGGAAACTAATGGAAGGAAAAAATAAGTAAAGTCATTCTTAAAGTGAGGCAAAATACCTGATTCCATTCTTTACTTTTTCCCCAATTTACTGAATTCAGTAGCCATGTACTGAAAAGTTCTCTAATAATAATTGCCAACATCTACTGGGAACCTTAAAAATATTATCTCATTTAGTACAACTCTGTGATATATTAATATTCCATTTTACTGTCAAAGAAACTGAGGCACAGAGAAGCTAAGTAACTTACCCCAGTCACACAGCTAGTAAGTAGCAGATCCAGAATTCAACCCAGCTAATGTAGTTCTGGAGCCCATATTTTTACCCACTGTTATGTTGCTTTTCTACATAAGAAGACATACTAATCACACCGCTGTAGGTTCCATTACAATACCACGCACTCATGGGAAAGGGAGCACCTAGGGACTCATTCCTTAAATAAGCACTTATGATGAACAGTCTCAATGCCATGCCCTACTTGTCACCACTGGAAAGGACCACAAAAATGAATAAATCATGGTCCAAGCCTTAGATACATTCACAGTCTGGTGGAGAACATATTATTCCAACACAGTTAAAACAGTCCTTGTAAAGCTGTGTCTAAAGTGCCATTGAGGATAGGGTGGGAGAGACTGATGACTAGCTTCTTGCAGAATGTCAGGAAGATGTCACACACAAGGTGATAAATGATCTAAGTTTTTTAAAGAACAAGTAGGAGTCTTCAGAAAACAGGAAAGGCAAAAGGATTACGTAGGTATCCATGTTTTAGATATTAATAATGAAGATTTATTTGTTAATAATTTTTGTTTTTATAGCTATACACAAGGCTTTACGCTGGGCATATGGAAGATTTAAAAATAAATAAAGTATAATCTCTTCTTTCCATAAATTTATAATCTATGAGGGAAATAGCACACCAATGAATATTACAAGGCTCTATGTTTTTGTTAAAGTGCTTTAAGAATTCTAGGGGAAAATCTTTTAGATGGTTTAAGAGTTTCTTAATGTGAATCCAAATAATTCTGGGATACTGATGCCTATTCTGCTTCTACAGCCCTGAGTTCAAGAATGTGGTTGGATCAGCTGAATTAGTCTCAAGAGTCTCAGAGTAATGAATGAACGTACTGCCACAATTGTGTTGTTTCATCAAATAATGCTGAGGTTGAAGAGGTATACCTGGACCAAGCAAAAAAGTACCAAGCACATATACAGACTAGACAATGTATAAGACTTCTCTAGCCTTATACATAAGCATTGGGCATGGAAGGGGACAAGTTACACCTTCAGAAGGACTTGTAATCTGTGCTCACAATTGTGAAACTCCTGGCTAGATAAAGTCATAGGAAGTTTGAATATTTGTCTCAGATGCTGCCGCTGATCTTGCTATCATTTATCAAAACATTGTTTTCTACTGCATTCTTACTACGAGTAAAATGCATTTTATGTACTCAAAGGGTATTTATGTCTTGTCTTTCTGTCAATACAAGCCTGCTAATGACATTTTTTTTAGTATGACAGTTGGACATGGAGTTTAACAAATTACACAGGAGTTCAGAAACAGAGTCTACTGTTGGTTAAATAATCAGAGAGTTCTTGAAGGAAGTAGTATTGGAGTTATGATTGATTGAATCTATCATCAATCAAGATTTCAGTCTGATTCATCCCCTTTCTGATTGGTACATTCACTTATTAGATAAGTTAAAATATTCAAAAATAATGGAGGTCAGTCTTGTTGGCCTAGAAGACTTCCTGCCCTTCACAAGGACTAATTTTACAATTTATCTATAAAGAGAAAATTCTTAATTTCCTCATTCCCATGTTCTTAGAGGTATCTTACCAGACTGACCAAGTATGTCAATAATAACAATAAACATCTATTGCATAGTTCTCTTCCATTTACATAGTATATTTTCATAATATAATCTCATTTGATTCCTCCAGTAATCACGTGAAGTATTAGTCAAGTTTAGTGACTTGCCCCAAGCCACATAGCTAGTAAGTAGGGGAGTCAGTTTTTCTCTGTTACCCCACCATGAAGCCTGTATTCATCTGTTCTCACATTGCTATAAAGAAATACCTGAAACTGGGTAATTTATAAAGAAAAGAGGTTTAAGTGACTCATAGTTCTGTAGGTTGTGCAGGATGCGTAGTGGCTTCTGCTCAACCTCTGGGGAGGCATCAGGAAACTTTCAATCATGGCAGAAGGCGAAGGGGAAGCAGATACATCTTACAGGGCCAGAGCAGGAGCAAGAGAGAGTGGGAGAGGTACCACACACTTTTAAACAACCAGATTTCACGAGAACTCACAAATGTGACAACAGCACCAAGGTGGGATGGTGTTATACCATGAGAAACCATCCCCATAATACAATCACCTCCCACCAGGCCCCATTTCCAACATTGAAGATTACATTTCGACTTGAGATTTGGGTGGAGACACAGATCTAAACCATATCAGAGCCCCAGTTTTGAATGAACCTATTTTGGAAACTCCTCTCAACTCACAAACTACTAGCCTCCTCTCCTTTCACTGAAAATCACCCTCCCCCTCATCTTTCAGGGATGCCCAGCCTGGGCAGCCATGTTGTACCACATAACATCTCCACTCAGGCCTCTGGTAATTGGGCCTCAAGTATACACTGAACCAAGATAAAAGAAAAAAATCAGATTTTCTAAAGGAAGACTTTGGGAATTGGTACTGAGATATGGAGAGTTTGTCTCTCCATATGCCAGGAAATAAAGCTTGTGAATTTAGGAGCTATGAATGGCTACATTGCACCCTAAGAACAAATGTTAGAGAAAGAGTCCACAGAGAGAAGGGTGAAGCAGAAACACAAGAAAATCAAGGAGCAAACACAAGAAGAGTACTCAATGACTTTGCAGTCCCTGTTCCCATCCTTTGATATGTAACTACATTCTTAGCACTGTGTCTCATTTCCTTTCATCTAGCTTTAGTTGGTTTCCCATAGTTAAAGCCAGGGTCTTAAATACTAATATTTTAGAATCTGTATAGGACCAGTTAATATTAGCCCATTCACTAGGATACAGTGGCCAAAAGGGGAAAAAAAGTGAAAGAGGAAGGGAGGAAGGTAGAGGAGGTTATTTTCTATACCTGTTGCTGTTGTCGATAGCTGCAAACCCTCAAAACTCCTCCCCATTCTGCTCCACTGGAGGAAAGAGAGTAGTTTCAAGGCCTGGGTTTCAAATGAGGTATGCGTGTGTTTGGTACAGGAACAGTAGATTTGTTGGCAGTTTTGTTTGTTTGTTTGTTTGTTTGTTGTTTGTTTTTCCAGACTAGTCTTAACAGTGCGTTTGGAAAATAAACCAGGGAGTAGTGTACAGGATAGAATGGGATTGGGAGGGAACAGGGAGAGGACAGATAAGAGGAATCAGGAATGAGAATGAGGCTTGACAAAGGAAAGGCTGCACAATTAGAAAGAGAAAACAGAATGGAAAATGCTGAGAAGGTAGACTGGATAAACTCAGTGAACAATTATGTGAGATAGTGGGAGAAAGAGTCAAAGATAACTATCCCAAGTCTGGGGCCTGATGACTAGAAGCATGATAAGACCAGTAACTAAAACCTGAAATTAGGAGGAGGACTGGTATAAATAAGGAGGCATCTGCCTAGCCTTGGTGAAAATGTCTATCAGCCCAGGAGGAAAGAACACTGGAAGTACAGATATGGGATTTGTTCAATGGGCTGACAGTTGACATGAGCTTAAGTCTGTACCAAGAGAGGAAAAGAAAGACAAATACAAACCCTTGAGGAGGGTCCACGTTTAGGAATAAATAGATGGGGGAAATACGACTAAAAACCCACACAAAAAGCAGAGGAGATCAGGACAGTACACACTGGTGATGTTAAGGAGTTATACGGAGAGTGTGGTCACTGTTTTAAGCACCTCAGAGAGGTCAGAAAATTAAGTTTGAGAATAGTCACCAAAATTCACAATTGAAAAATGACCGAGCATTTTCAGTAGCTTGATGAGAGAGAATATCAGATTAGAAAGGAGAAGTCTTTCAGGTAAATTAAAAGAAGAAAAGCAGAAAAGAGAGGACTGACCATGAGATTTTTTGCTTTTTTCTTCTTCCTTTTTTTGATATTGGAGATCTGATTGTGGCAACAGGGGGTTTCAGGAGAAAGTACCAGTGAACCCAAAATTTGAAAATGCTTAAAAGAGAGTAAAATTGGTAGAAACAGGATTCTGGAACGGGATCTGAGGAGGAAAGTGATCCTGAAGAGAAAAATCTGATTTGGAGAAGAACATAGTTGACAGCACGATGTCTTCCAGCCTCTCTGTAAAGTTACAAAAGGGGTCTATTGAGAAGGCTGATGGTGTTAGCTTGTAAACCAAGTCCACAGCACAGCCCTAGCAGATAGTCAGCACTTAACAAATGTTGTTGAATGAACATGATTCTGCTACTCAAACATTCATATGTAAATATGTACATAGATTTTGTTACTGGTAGTTTTTAAAAACCAGTTCAGAAAAGAAAGAGCATTCTGCAGCCATTAGCCCTAAAGAGAGGCAAAAATAATCAGCTCTGCTTGCCTTGAACATCAGAGGAGTGCAATTACATGACATATCAGAGTTAATCCAGCCACACCTATACACTCAGAAAGCCATTCCATCAGCAGAATCATTTGCCATTATGAAAAGCACAGCGATAGAAATACGGAGCACTTTCATTTCCGTAAAGGAAATTCCATGACACTCTTTCTACATGACCTTCCTTCCTCTATTGCCTCTCTTGTCTTACAAAATGACTTTGTGCCTTCTAGCACTAACATTCTGAGGGTAGCATGCTTCTTTTCATTTCCAGTGACAAATCAAATACAGTAGGTCAATATATGAGAAAGGCAGAGTAAAGATTTTCACACATGCAAAACCAAAATTGAGAGTTGCCAATGATTGATGATTATAACCTAGTGCACCCTTTGGCAGAAAAGCTAATAAGTTTTGTTCAATGTGATAGCAAAAGAGTTGTTACATATAATACAAATAAAATGTAAAGTAATTTAAAAAAAAAAAAAGCTTGGATCATTTTGGAAAATGGAAACATTACTTATTGTCATTTACCTATGCCCTTAAAAGGAAATGTGCTAAATAACCCAGTCTTCTAAAGGAGTAAATGATTTACTGCCCTCAGATCTTAGTTGTCTTTCTAAGAACTAAGGCAAAAGTTCTTAAATTTTTCTGTGCCATAAACCTCTTTGGCAGTCTGGTGAAGCCTATGGAGTCCTCGGAATAATGCTTAGAAATGCATAAAATAGGTTTACAAAAGCAACAAAATAGTTAATTTAAATTGTAATTGAAAAGCAATTTAAATACAGCTATCAGAGTCTTAAAAGAAAGTTTTCTTATATAATAATATGCAAATTATTTGTTAATATATTAAATAACTACTATAATTTCAGTATGCTAATTAGCATGTATAATATTTCAAGACAACTATACCATGTGAGGAAATTTTAAAAATCAGTAGAGGTTTCTAGTGTGACAGTCACAGGTATATACTAATACAATGTAGTACTCCATGGCTCTGTGGTTTAGAGCCTACTTTTATAGTTGGAAGAAATTCTCATTTTCAGTTTGAGCTTAATAAATATTCCCCTCCCCCCACATCTGAATACACAGACTCCAGATTAAGAACTCTTGGTTGTACCTTTTAGAAAAACTACAGCTATAATTACTGTTCACCAACTGTGATTACTGACTAAATGAACACAAGCTTTCACTTTTTAGAACTATTAAGACCACTGAGAATTCAGAGAGCAAAGAAATAGAACTGTGGCTGCAGCTGACAAGGGGAAGATTAAAGTCCATGAATGTGAAGAATCTCTGATACACTCTGAGAAGTAACATCCAATAAATTCACCATAAAACTGGCTCCCAGAAGGGCCCTGGAGAAGAACGGGTGTAGGGTAGTTCCTTCAGTTATCCCAACACAACATGGTTTTCTCTCTGTGTCCTGAAAACCCATAATGTACAAATGGCAATCTCAGGTCTCTAAGATCATGTTGCTAAGCATGTTTTCTCTCTGCACTATTTTCATTAAAACTTCTCTAGAAGGCTCCAGATTTTCCAAAAAAAAAAAAAAAAAGATTTTAGTTTTACCAAAATCCTAAGTTGGTCACTGTTTATTAAAATATTACTAAACATATGATAACAATAGGAATTTTATAGTAAGTGTATATGTAAAGCACACATGGAGTATTTAAAAAGCTAAACCACAGAAGTGCAGATTAGTCTTTATTTATTTATTTGGTACTGAGTTGTTTTTACTATAAAGGGTGGGAGAAATAATCCTTAACACAGCCAAAGTGTACATTTTGTCATGCGTGTCTGTGTGAAGAGAGTCCACCAAACAGGCTTTGTGTGAGCAACAAGGCTGTTTATTTCATCTGGGTGCAGGCGGGCTGAGTCCGAAAAAGGAGTCAGCAAAGGGTGGTGGGATCATCATTAGTTCTTATAGGTTTGGGATAGGCGTACAAAGTACATTCTCAAGGGCAGGGAGAATAGTACAAAGTACCTTCTTAAGGGTGGGGGTGCGCAGAATATATTGTATCAGTTAGGGTGGGGCAGGAACAAATCACAATGGTGGAATGTCATCAGTTAAGGCTATTTGCACTTCTTTTGTGGATCTTCAGTTGCTTCAGGCCATCTGGATATATACATGCAGGTTACGGGGGATATGATGGCTTAGCTTGGGCTCAGAGGCCTGACACATTTGATGATATATGACAGAAAATAACCATAAAGGATGCAATGGTCAGTAACAGGAGAGCATCTTCATGGCATTACTCAAGCCGGAACTTGTTATTTCCTCACCTATAACCAGGTATATTCACTTCCTAAAGCTACTGTAACAAATTACCACAAAATTGGTGGCTTAAAACAACAAAAATTTATTCTCTTACAGTTTTAGAGGCCAGAAGTCCAAAATCAAGATGCCTGCAGGGTTGGTTCCCTCTGAAGCTTGGAGGAGCAATCTCTCCCATGCCCCACTCCTACCTTCCAGTGTCTGCCAGCAACCCTTGATATTCTTTGCCTTAGGGCTACAAAAATCTAACCTCTGACTCTGTCTTTACATGGCCTTTTCTCTATGTCTCTGTATCTCAAATTTCCCTCTCCTTTCTCTTATAAGGACACCACTTATTGGATTTAGGGCCACTTTACATACAGAATTATCTCATCTCAAGATCCTTAACTAGTAACATCTGCAAAGACCCTGTTTCCAAATCAGGTTACATTCACAGGTACCAGGGGTTAGTGCTTAGACATTTCTTTTTGAGGGACACAATTTAACCTACTGTAACAAAGATTCCTAAACTCCCACATATTCTAGCTACAGAAACTTTACTAAAAGATGATCCAACACAAAGCACAAAGCACTTATTTTTCTTACAGCCAGTGTAAAAGGGAAATAAATCTTGGGACCCCAAACTCATTAACCCAAAGGGAAAAGTCAAGCTGGGAACTGGGTCATGCAAAACTGCCTCCCCTTTTTGGTTCCCAAATAAGATGGCTACAAGATGAAAAACTACACACCTCCCTCATATTTTGCCCACAAGGAAATTCCTAATGAGCTCCAAGATATTTACCCTGAAGCATTTCTGTTAAAATTCACCAAGGCAATGTAAACTGATAGCTTATCTTTACAGATGCATTTACCCTTCTGCCCACCTGGCACAAATGCATATCTGATTGTTCCCCTGCCCCATTTTTGTTTGTTATCTTACTTAAAAATGCAGATTCCCTGAACCCTGTCCTATCTATGTTATCTTATGTAAAAATGCAGATTCACGGAACCAGACAAAGCCATGAATGACTATTTTCCCCCTACTCATCTCCTACATGAAAAAATGTGTACTTCTTGGCTAGGCACAGTGGCTCATGCCTGTAATCTCAGTACTTTAGGAGACCAAGGTGGGCAGATCATATGAGCCCAGGAGTTAGAGACCAGCCTGGCCAACATGACAAAACCCTGACTCTACTAAAAATACAAAAATTAGCCTGGCATGGTGGTGCACATCTGTCATCCCAGCTACTTAGCAGGCTGAGGCATGAGAATCACTTGAACCTGGGAGGTGGAGGTTTCAGTAAGCCAAGATCACACCACTGCACTCTAGGCTGGGCGTCAGAGTAAGACGGAGTAAGACTCTATCTCAAAGAAAAGAAAAAAGAAAATTGTGTACTTCCCAATATCCCTCCCTTACCTCTTTAAATTTAAAGCCCACAAAATCATCTTCGGAGAAAGGCATAGACCTGTCTCCCGGGCGTGTCCTTAACTTTGGCAAATAAATCTCCTAAAATGATTAAGACTTGTCTCATTATTTTTCTCAATTGACCACACTATTAGTAGATAATACTATTTTTAAAAACTGCACATAATCACTGACATTTGTAGATCTGTACAAAAATCATAGGGAACATGTGTAGCTACAGAATAAAAATGGAGTTGGTATAATCTGTAGCTAAGACAGAAAGTTAAAGTATTTTAGGGGTTTAACTCTGAGAAATTATAGACACAAACCAGGAGTTCCCAGCAATTACCTCTGAAATCAGATGGGTCTAGACTAGCACCGAAGGGTGTGGGCCACTACAGGGTATAAAAACAAGATAAATACAGACGTCCCCTTAGTCACAACTGCCTAAGGGTGTTCCCAATTCTCTAGTGAAATAGGCTAAGTATCACCCAACCCATACTGGAGATATTACTGAAGGGTTTAAAATATGTTGTCTATATTTATGCTTAAATTAACTCTTTGTGTTTAAACTAATTTATAGTTCATCTACTGGCATGTAGCTAATTCTTCTAAACGAATGTTTTTATGTTTACAATTAACCTAAAATAATTGGAGAAAAGATTTAATGTAACACAAAGGAAAAAATGGCATCTGAACTAGGAATAGCCACTAATACTGGCAGTCACATTCTTCAGAAAGGGCAGACCACATGATGCCCAAATATGGATATTCATTTTTTGATCCAACACTTTTCACATATCTTAAGATTTTTAAAGCTAGGGGCCAATGTATGATAGTGTGGCCTTTATCCACACATCCAACTTCATAAATATTTCCATGTCTTCAAAATAGAAAGCATATTGTCATCTAAAAATCAGAAGTATGCATGCAAAGGTGTAAATATTTTATCAATCTATCTGTTCATTGTATTTAGTGATATTATGCAGTGCTTTATAGATGTATAGTCCTTTTGAGATGTACTATTATACATAGAAGAATACTATGTCTTTCTAGGAAGGATTCTGTTTTATTCTTCTTAGGTAGCTCCCACAATGCCTAGCACAGTTCTTGGTAAATCCGCAATCAATGGTAGTGCCCAGATTTCCTAATACTTCCTATAAATAGTTGTTCCTTCTTGTGGAAAGTACCACTTACACATGAGAGGCTGCTGAAGGAATTCATGTAAGATAAACATGACTCAATATTTTTTGCATTTATAATCATACCTGCTTCACAAGGCTGTTGCTTAAATAAATTAATATTTATAAAGTGTTCAGAAGATCATCTGGCATACAGGAAGTTCTACATAAGCACTTTTATTAGTAGTAGTGTTGTATTATAATTATTCACTACCCTTATAGAAAAAGGTTTGTATGAAGGAGTAAATACAATAATTACAATAATACATATTCTATTCAGCATTGTTGGGGAACAAAATCTTCCAAATTATTTTATTTTATTTTATTTTTTATTTTTTTTAGACAGAGTCTCACTCTGTTGCCCAGGCTGGAGTGCAGTGGCATGATCTCAGCTCACTGCAACCTCTGCCTCTCAGGTTCAAGCAATTCTCCTGCCTCAGCCTCTCTAGCAGCTGGGACTATAGGCGCCCACCACCATGCTGGGCTAATTTTTGTATTTTTAGTAGAGACGGGGTTTCACCATGTTGGCCAGGCTGGTCTTGAACTCCTGACCTCAAGTGATCAGCCCACCTCAGCCTCCCAAAGTGCTGGGATTACAGGTGTGAGCCACCATGCCCAGCCTAAATCTTCCAAATCATTGACATTACTACCTTTAAATAGTCAATCCATCAGTCTATTAATATTTATTAAATAGCTATTATTGTATGCCAGGCATGTTCTACAATAATAAAGAAGAGACAGTCCCTACTATCAAGAAGCTTATACTCAAGTGAAAAATGAAACAAAACAAAACATGAACACATCAATAAAAAATAAGATCTTTCATAATATGAAAAAAAATAAAATTGTGTAATGTGACATATAGGGCCTGCTTGAAAAGTGGTGGAGAAAAGAGCTACTTTGAACTAAGAAGATCAGTAAAGGCCACTAGTAGGGAAGTTTAGCTGAAACCAGAACAATGAGGTAGTCACTAGTAGATCTGAGCAAAGAGCTTTCCAAGCAGAAGCAATAGCAACCGCAACAGGCAAACATCCTATGATAGAATGTTCAAGGTTGGTGCATTAAGTCACTGTGGCACAATGTTGGATATGGCCCAGTGGAAAGGAATGAACTGACAACTGAAAAAGTGAGGGAAATTGGAGGAGTGAATTGTTGTTGTTGTTGTTGTTGTTTAGACAGAGTCTCTCTCTGTCACCCAGGCTGGAGCAGTGGCACAATCTCCAGTCACTGCAGCCTCCACCTCCCAGGTTCAAGCAATTCTACTGCCTCAGCCTCCCAAGTAGCTGGGATCACAGGTGTACGCCACCACGCCCGGCTAATTTTTGTATTTTTAGTGGAGACAAGGTTTCACCATGTTGGCCAGGCTGGTCTAGAAATCCTAACCTCAAGTGACCCACCCACCTCCGTGTCCCAAAGTGCTAGGATCACAAGCATGAGCCACTGCATCTGGCCTGGAGGAGTGAATTCTTTATGATGGTATGGGGTGGGAATCCAAAGCACATCAGGAGGGAATAGCCTTACAGCAATGAGAGTTGGAAGAGTATGTGGGCATGAATATAGTGAGCTGGTAGAACTAGAGGTGGGAAAATTAGATTATGGTGGGATCATAACCTGTGAGTGAGTGAGTGAGTGAGTGAGTGAGTGAGTGAGTGAGTGAGTGAGTAAAGGAACTAGAAGAGGTTTAAGAAATCATTCTAGAGAGTTAGAAATGGAATATGGCTCCACAGGTATAGTAGGATGCCACTAAGTGTAATATGCCCTGACATTTGTGGTCATGGTTTTGAAATAACTAAACCTAGCAACAATTATTTTATTTTCTCCAGTAACATTTAGCTGCTTGGGTGAAGATGCAAAGTAGGCAGTCACTTCAATATAACTAGTGTTGAAATTTTGCCAGGCAAGGAAGTGGCAAAGAGATGGCCAAGGTAATCAAGAAACATCTGTAAGAAAATCGTCATAACAGTATGTGAAATCACAGCTGGTAAGAAGGAAGTGAAAGATAGAGAATGTGATGAATATGATGAATATAAAAATAAATAACAAAGGCAGGGGATTAGAAGACTTTATAAGGTTGGTAACTTGCAAGAGTGGGATAAGCAGCGTAAGTGAGCTGGATGGATAAGAGAGAATGATCAGAAAATGAGACGTTTGAAATGAAAATGTGGTGACTGTTAGTAAGGAAAAGGTGGATGCTGTGACCATATGAGTAGCATCTAAGTGAGAAGGAAGGTGGATAGAAAAGATCAGTATCAAAAACTGACATAAGATTTTTTATTACTTTACAATCATTTGAGATCGAAATGCTATTAAGATTATTTTTACACCATTTCTTATATTATTCATGTAGACTAAACAATTTTGTTTTTTTCTGGTCATAAAGGGTGATCAATATAAAAATTAATTCTGGTATGACATATATGGTAATTTCCTCAGTATTTCCTGATTGTTTTGCTCATACAGTAAGTTATCCTAGACAATTGTATTTGGAGTCCTTGAGTCTGCTTTTTAGAGTTTACCTGTCTTTTTCCTCTGTTCCTTTCAGGCACAGGAGGCTGAAAACTAGATTTCCTAGAATTCACTAACGCATTTCTTAGTTAGATACTTGAGGGCATACCTAGATTGAAGTCCATGAACTTGACTGAATCTGTTTGGATTTCTCGTGTCCTTTCCTTGGCTTCCTTCCCTCTAGACAAGTGAAGCTTTACTCTTTGAGGAGGAAAAGGGGGTACCAGGGCTGACAGAAGTCAACCACTGACAATAATAATCCTTTATTTCTAGCCAATGGATTTTGACAAGATTTGACAAATTTCTGTATTTAAATTTCTAGTGTTCAATTAAGATACTTCTCTTGCTTATGAACAATCTTCTTGTGGAATAGTCATAAAGTTATGAGTGGCCCAGGATTTAATTTCAATGTTAAAATAGTTCTGATTTGGGGTTTTAATTAATTCACATTTGAATAAAAATTTATAACCTACCTCCCCCTGCTTCTAAAGATTCTTTCCTGTGTGGCCTTTCTCATGTGTAAAATCTATGATATAATCACTGCTATACAAAATGCGAGAAAGCACAAATTAAGACTATTCCCAAATAGCCAACAGCCCAACCAAAGCAGTTATCTAAAGAGGACTGGTAGAATAGCCATTTATTTTGTTTTTCTTCACTTCCTTTTTTTACTGTTAAATTTTTTTTTTTACTTAACACTAATTGATAGTACATGTCCACATCCTCGTTCCTGTAATTATTACACACGCAAAATAAGATGACAGGTCTGAGGCATCAAAACTCTTTCGGCAGCTGCTGTACAGTTCTGTTATGTGAAGAGGGAAGTCTCCACTTCCTTCTATATAATGAATGCTGCACATTCTTCCACAGACTGTTTATAAAAGCTGACTCCTGGGACCTAGTAAGCAATATCTTACTACAGAGATCCTTTCCAAAAAAAAAGGGCTTAGGAACTCTACAGAATGCTATTACAGACACAGGAGATATGGAGTTGGGAAAGAAGTAATTAAATGAAAACGTTATAGATTAAAAAGGAGTCTGAAAAAAAAGCAGAACCCTGGGAATAGCAAGAGATAAAGTAGCTGGAGGCATCTGGCCTTTTCTGAGCAAATTTAAGCACAAACTGGCAATCAGTAGAGGCAGTTACTTGAGCATTCTGCTTTAGCTAGGGAAGCACTGGTTTAACCTCACCAATACATTTTTGACATGAATGGTTTCAAAGATCTTATATATCTGCATACTTATTTTATAGATTTCTACCAGTCCATCATTTTCCCTTCAAACCATTCATTCACTCATTCAACATATTTATTGAGACCCTATGTGCCGGTCACCATTGTACGTGGTACATATACAGTAGGGCGAAAATTACCCCAAAATATCTTTGTGCTCATGGCTCATGAGTTCCAGAGGAAAGAAAAACACTAAATGTAATAAATAAATAAAGGACAGTATGTCGGAAAGTAATGAGTGCCGTGGAAATAACAGACAGCAGAGTAAAGGGGAGCAAGTGAAGGAGGTGGGCATGGGTGCGTGCAGTTTGATATAGGACTGCCTTGACCACTCTATTGGAAATGATCTCTAAGTTACAGTGTTAAGTGAAAAGAAGGAAGGTGTAGAAGAATGTGACTAGTAGGCTTCCACTTATATTTTTGTTGCTGTTGTTGTTTTTGAGACAGGGTCTTGCTCTGTCACCCAGGCTTGAGTGCAGTGGCACGAATATGGCTCACTGCAGCCTCGACCTCCCAGACTCAAGTGATTCTCCCACCTCATCCTCCTGAGTAACTGGGACTACAGGCACGTGCCATCACACCTGGCTAGTTTTTTTGTTTTTTGTAGAGACAGGGTCTCACCATGTTGCCCAGGCTTTTCTCGAACTCCTGGGCTAAAGCGATTGGCTCACCTTGGCCTCCCAGAGTGCTAGGATTACAGACATGAGCCACCTTGCCTGGCCACCATTTGTAATTTTTAAGAACAAATATATATGCTTTTATATGCATAGTCTGTCTATGAAAGGAGCCCAATAAATCATCAACGTGGTTGCCTCCAGACAAGGGAGCTCAATGTCTGCAGAAAACAGCTTTTCAACATACCCCATTTATATCTTGAATTTTGCATTAATTGTTTAAATATTTTAGTTAATTATTTAAACTAAAGTGTTATATAATGTAAAACAATCTACAGTAACTAAATAAATTGTTTAGCAAACACTCTGTGAACATAAATCATCTGTATTTGGTACTACAGAATCATCTATAGTTAATACTACCAGTATAAAAATAATATATATAATTATCTTTAAAGAAACCCCAAAAAAGAAAATAACTTTTAGCAAGTAATTGATCTTTACAGTTAGAAAATGGAGAAAAAAAAATAGCCTCATATTTTCAGTATTCTTCTCTTTTGCTTTTCCTCCTGTGATTGGTTTTATACTATTTTCCCTGCTAACTCTATTTGAAAGTGAACAGGACCTCATTCACTCTAATATTTTTAAATTTATTTTTGTCTCCTCTTTAGCATGTGAAAAATCTAACTAACCTTCCTTTACTGGCACTAGGCACAAATTGCCTGGACTGGAATTGCTGTTGCCAATAATACTTCCAGTACTAACAGTAACTACCAATCAACTATTGATTCATAGCTCTGCTAGCAGCTTCATATATCATGGCGTGTACCAGCAGGCTGGGGTGAAAGCAGATGACACATCTTCAGTTTTTGAATTACAGAAAGAACATCTCTATTAATGCCAGCTGCATTTATCAAAAAATTAACTCAAATATTTCTCCATCTCTTCAAATTATTTTGCACATCTTGTTCTTTGGTAACATCGTATTTAAGTGACCTCTTCTGAGGTCAGCAGATGTGGTCTTGGGCCGCCTCCAGATTCCTATTGGTGATAGTCAGTCCATAGCCCTGCCAGTGCCTTAGAAGCTTCCAAAATTAACACAGACCTTGTGACCCAGGGAATCAGAGACCCAGATAAAGAGGAAAGGGTTTCCTTGCCTATTTTCAATTCCCAGAAGTAGCTGCAACTGTCTGTCACTTCTAGGCTTTGTCAGTGATGTTTTAAAATATTATTATTCACTTATCCCACATACTCAACTCTTCTCTTCAACCTCCTCTTGAACCTAAAGTCAAGTTCTTTAGGTCTTATTTTTAAGTTCTTTATTGTCATTCCTGACATTATCCCTAGTCCAGACTCCAATACTGTCAGTGTCTGACGTATTTTCCCATCAGTACTTTTTTTGGGTGCAGGTGGGCAGTAAAATGTTGTTTGGTTTTGCTTCCTGGTCTGTGTTGGCAGGAGTCCTAGAAATTGGTTAAAACCAGGTCAATGGCCTGGCTTCTTCACTATACCCTTTGCAGTTTCAGGAAAAAGGAGGAGAAGGATTCTATCTGTCCACCCCCACTAAAATAGGAAAGAAGTAGAAAAAAAGTTTTCTGAGACAGGAAAATGATTTCTGAATATACCAGGAAGTAGCTGAAAAACTTCAGTCACAGAAATTGATTATTTATCCAAGTCCCAAAGCTACTACAAGAAAACTCAGAAAGGCCTTTGTTTTGCTTTTTTTAACAACACATGCCTTCCTCATTCTGACCACATGTTGTGATGAAGCCACCTCAGTAGGCATTACAGTCACAGAAGTCTGACTGAGCAGGTGCCTTTCTCATCCTACCCAATCCCATTTTATACAAATAACAGACATTCAATTACTGACTCATGTCACTAAAAAGCCCAGAGTATACAGCTTTCTTCAGATATGGCACTCTAACAATTGCAGAAATCTGTCTCTTCTCATCTCTTTGCTCTCTTTTCCCCTGAAGTGGCCTCTTTCTCAGGCTGACTTTCTCCTCACAGTGACCCAGGCTTGCTTTTTAGCAGTCCGACAACCCTCTGTAAAGAGTGTGCTGCTTCCCAGGTTGTTCCAGGAAAGATTCCTATTGGCCCAACTCAGGTCACATGCCATCATTGGACCAATCACTGTGGACAAGGCTTTGTGCTTTGAATGGCCAGGTCTAAGTCAGGTGCCTGATCCTGGAACCCCAGTGCCATTGGTTCAACTTGAACCACGTGGATCAAGATTGTGCAAGGGCGTTTATCAAACGAAAATGAAGATATAATTAGCAAAGAGAAATGGATGCTGCAGGACCAGGACTAGAGCAGGCAAGGAAGGCACCAAAGGAAAAACATTTAAGAAGTCATTTATTTTCAGGTTCGTGCAGACTGGGTTTTGAGTGAGCACCTCCACAGATTTGGTGTCCTAGCCTCCTCATTCACCTCACTTAGTCCTGGTCCTGGATGCTAGGTAAGCAAAAGACAAAATATTCCTTACACCAATATTCAAATATATCTCCCAGAGCGCCTGAAATCCCTGCCATAGAGATTCATTTCTGGGGGTTAGACAGAGACATCTCTAGGAGTCCTTCAAAAAAAATTTTTTTTTCAAAAACAGCTAGAGGGCAAATCTTTAAGTCAATAAAAGATTCGCATACACATGCTAATTATAGACTATCAAGTCAGTCACCTCCTGGTCCAGCACGTGTTGAAAGCTCCACCCCACCCCAATAAGAAGGTGTGGAACACTGTAAGGAGAGGACTTGCGGAAGAGGGATAAATGCCCAAGACACAAGATAGTGCAGAGGGGAGCCCCAGAAAAGGAGAAAAATGGCATTGAAAGGGAGATACAAAATGTTAAGGGTAACTTTTTTTCAATCACTTAATAACATTTAATGAACACTGGCTCTAGGCCTACTTCATCAGTTTGCCTAAATTCTACCATTTGGGGCCTTTGACATAGTAGGATGAGGAGAGAGGAAGTAGCAGGAAAGACTCAGGGGCACAGTAAATGTGGAAATCCCTAAATAAGAACAATTTGGTGGTGCACAACATCTGGGAAGGTTTATCTGGAGCTCTGAGTATAAAACTACAGGAAGAAAGATGAATCCTGCCCACAGGAAGTCCTTGGGTACTCAGGTTGCTGGCATCTTTGGGAAGCTTAATTTTCCCCTATGGCAAGGGTTTACGGAAAGACTAGGAGAGTTATGAACTGTGTGTCCCTCCTAGGCCCAAGGGGAAAATCAATCTTTAAACCACAAGATAAATACGTCAAATGCCTCTTAAGTTTTGCACTAATAAAGGCATTTTTTTTCCATCCTTCATATCCCAGTAATTTAATCTTCCTTTTCTAGGACTCCAGTTGCCTTTGGCAAAGAAAAGAACTTGCATAACTGAAATATATCTGCCTCTCATAAAAATCACATTTCAAAATTTTTTATCTACCTAATAATAATAAGTTTATAAAGCAATGATTCTGTTATTACTCAGAGGATGCATTCGAGAATATGGTTGTCCATTATGTCAACTCATAATGGATCCAAACACCACCTAGAAACCAGAGTGACCTGGTCCATAGACCCCAGCTTCTGCTTCTAAATGGCATGCATCGATATAGCTACTCTCTTAACCAGATGTCAGTAAACCTTGGAATTTTATAACTCACTCGTCTGTTTATCCAGCAGCCTTCTGCATATAAAATAGCTTCCACAGGATATGTCTACATGGAGAGAATGTGATGGCCATAATGTCTGGTGCCCTTAGCAACTGTATTTTTACAATAACTATTTGCTTTATATTCCATTAACAACTAACAAGTCACCATTTTGGTTGTTTCAGGCTCAGTGTGCTTATCAAGTTTCTGTGCCCATCAAGGCTTAAAACCAAATGGTAGACAAAGGGCAAGTCTCCAAAACTGTGTTGACCATCTATGAAGACTCTTAGGGACACGCAGCGGACCTTCTTCCATGGGTGCACACCCCTCTCTTGCCTATTAGTCTGCAAACTGGGAAAATCAGATGCTATAAAATCAATGAATATTTTAAGTTCTTCCCTGGCCAAAGAATACTATCGGATGAATTTTTTGCAAAATATAATAATTGGCAGTAGATTTATTAATTAATGAGTGCAATAAATATTCAGTACCAATTACACTCACGCACCACCTAACAATGTTTCGGTCAATGATGCACTGCATATATAATAACGGTCTCATAAAATTATAATGGAGCTGAAAAATTCCTCTTGCCTAGGGACACTGTAGCTGTCATAACATCACAGAGCAATACATTACTCACATTTGTGGTGATGCTGGTGTAAAGAAACCTACTATGCTGCCAGTCATATAGAAGTATAGCATGTACAATTATGTACAGTATATAATACTTGATAATGATAATAAATAGCTATGTTACTGGCTTATGTATTTATTATATGTACCTTTTAAATTATTTTTGAGTGTACTCCTTCTACTTGTATTTTTTAAAAAGTTAACTGTAAAACAGCCTCAGGAAGGTCTTTCAGCAGATATTCCAGAAAAAGGCATTGCTACCACAGAAGACAGCTCCATGCATGTTACTGCCCCTGAGGACCTTTCAGTAACAAAAGACATACAGGTGGAAGACAGTGATATCACATATCTTGATTCTGTGTAGGTCTATGCTAATATGTGTGTTTGTGTCTTCATTTTTAGCAAAAAAATTAAAACTTTTAAAAACGGGACAAAAGCTTATCGAATAAGGATATAAAGACAAAAACTATTTGTACACACTGTACAATATGTGTTTTAAGCTGCGTTATTACAAAACTCAAAAAGTTTTTTAAAACTTAGAAGTTTAAAAAGTAAAAATGTTACAGAAAGCTAAGGGTAATTTACTATTGAAGGAAGAAAAATATTTCTTATAATAGCATAGCCTAAATGTAGTGTTTATAAAGTCTACAGTAGTGTATAGTAATATCCTAGGCCTTCACACTCTCTCACTTACTCACCCAGAGCAACTTCCAGTCCTGTAAGCTCCATTCATGGTAAGTGTTCCATACAGGTATACCATTTTTTATCTTTTATACCACATTTTTACTATACCTTTTCTATGCTTAGATACACAAATACTTACCATTGTGTTACAACTGACTACAGTATTCAGAAAAGTAGCATACTGAACAGGTTTGTAGACTAGGAGCAATCGGCTATATACCATCTAGCCTAGGCCTGTAGTAGGTGATACCATCTAGGTTTGTGTAAGTGCACTCTATGATGTTCACACAATGACGAAATTGCTTGATGAGACATTCCTCAGAATATATTTAATAAATTGCTTAATGAGGCATTCCTCAGAATAAATCCCCATTGTTAAGTAATGCATTTTGCTAGGTGTTATGGAAAATTCCAGACTGAAAAAACTAGGGTGTCATCCCTCGAAGACTGCAGTCCAGGACAAGACACACACACATGATAATAACTCTTTTGAAAGGCAAATTGTCTTAATTGCTGTGCTAAAAGTATAAACTACTGTATAGAGAAAGAAAATATTAATTGCAACTAATGGCTAAGAAAAGACCTCTTGAAAGACATGGGGTCTGACCAACCCCACAAGAAGCTATGAGGAGAGTTGCAATCCAGACAAAGGGAAGGTTGACTCAACAACCCCTTTCCATGGGAGGAACAGGCCTCCCATGTGGCCGGGCCTCTGGAGCTTGGCAAGCGTATGCTGTGGAATTTAAGACCCATGGCTGAGTGGAGATCATTGGGAAGACTCTGGGATTTAGATTACAGAGTTTGGGAGTGTATGGATGCTTTGCCCCATAGTTTATCAGGATTATTTCAATCTTAAACAACCAGGGCTGTGGTTTTTGACCTTCTCTGTAGAAAGACACATTTGCATGTATATCATAAGGTATCCCGATCCCTCTTTCATTTGTTTTATTTCTTTAATCTACCTAAATTAAGACCTGAAAACTCAAGATCTTCCAAGTTATGAGCCCCATAAGAACCCATGGCTTCCAGGCGGAGGGGAAAGATACCACCTTTTCTATAAACTGAGACAAGATGGCAAAAGAATTGCCTAGAAGCCTAGTCCAGGTGCTGTTTTCTCAGCTACTCAAAGAGATCCTTCTTGCTCCTTTAGGAAAGGGGGATTCCTAGACCTCTCCAAACCTCAATCACCCTGGGATGCACAGATGCCAAGGGCTCGGGTGTAACCCTTAAAATCCCCGCTTCCCGGGGGTCAGCGGCACCATCAGCAGCACCGCAGTATAGAAGTTCCGGTCCTTCCAGCTGCTGGGATTCTCAGCTTGAACTCTTCCAGGAAACAAGTTCTTTTCCGCTTCTCTTGCGAAATCCAGCAGACCGTCCCGCCCTTCTCTGGCTTCTTATAGCAGCGAGAGCCACAAGCCACAGCGCTGAGCTGCAGGCGCGGCGAAACTTCCCTCTACCCGCCCGGCCCGCGGCGCGCACCGTTGGCGCTGGACGCTTCCTCCTTGGAAGCGCCTCTCCCTCAGGTGGGTCACTTTTCGCCACAAGGCTCCCGTCCCTTATCTGCTTCAGCTCACCTCCAGTCCCTGCTGCTAGGACCCCACTCCCCAGCCCATCGCACTGAAGAACAGGTGCTTGCAAACTCCCCGCCGCGCCCCGGCATCACTTTAGAGGAAAGTCACCTGAGGCTGCTCCGCGATTCAGCAAGCTTCTAACTTCCTGGAGTTTAAGGCTCATCCCTACCCCAGGGTGCAGACAAGCCCAAAGGGGGAAAATTAAGGGGTTAGATTCTTCTCTGCATCTTACTTCTGGATTGGCGCACTCTTGGGGCGCCCATCAAAAAGTAGGCTGGAAGAATGTGGCTTTAGCAGTCAGTCTCCAAGGTCTCAGATCCGAGGCTGCTTCTTGACCAGGCACTAAAAATTTGTCCTGATACCTGCAACCACTTCCATTTTTTTATCTTGATTTAAATTTCCTCTTGCAATTTAAAGGTTATTTTTCTGGAGGAAGATTGTTCAGAATATAATTTATTGTGAAGAGTAAATAAAGCCTCAGTTCCGTTTGTTTGTCC
Source organism: Homo sapiens (assembly GCF_000001405.40). Lineage (NCBI taxonomy): Eukaryota > Metazoa > Chordata > Mammalia > Primates > Hominidae > Homo > Homo sapiens. The sequence continues at coordinate 88,306,246 of NC_000007.14, read as the reverse complement.
AGAGACAGAATTTTATTATTCTTTTTCCCACCTCTAGATGGTAATTTAGGAACTTTCTTTAAAAGATTGGTGTACTGAGGCTGGGTACGGTGGCTCAAGCCTGTTATCCCAACACTTTGGGAGGCCAAGGCCGATGGATCACTTGAGGTCAGGAGTTCGAGACCAGCCTGGCCAACATAGTGCAACCCAGTCTCTACTAAAAATACAAAAATTAGCCAGGCGTGGTGGCAGGTGCCTGTAATCCCAGCTACACAGGAGGCTGAGACAGGAAAATCACTTGAACCTGGGAGGTGGAGGTTGCAGTGAGCTGAGAAAGTGAATTGGATAGAGAATGGGGGAGGGGAGGAAGAATACTATTCCTAGTTCTATAATAACTAGAACCTCATTATCTCAGCCTCAGTTTCCACAGATGTAAAATAAAAGGCTGGCTACTGGGCCAGATGATCCAGAAAGTTCAACTCTAACAAGGTGAAAAGCCGTGACTAAAGATGCCTGCAAGTTTGAAATACATAGAAAATCTCCTTAATGCTACAACTATAATTCAGTGGTTACTTTTTTCATAATAATGCATGTTCCATTTTTATAAGGAAACTCTCCAGTTGTCGGGGGAAGAGTCTCTTCCCACAGGAGCATCTTAAAGTTCTGCCACATTTATCATTCAGAGAATACTCTCAGCTTTCAAAACCATTCTTCAGCCTTGCTATGTGAGAATGTCCTATTCCCTACAAATGGCAGTCATATAAATGTCACTCACATGAGAGAACATTTTTTTTTTCTGATACAGTAGGTATAATTTTGTAAAATGGCACATTTATTTGAAGCAGTAACTTTTCTGAGATATGGCCTTTTGCAAGGTCCCAAGTTTTTCAGAATGCTGTGATTTAGCACAATATGAGATTTGACCTGCATGTATTCTACCTGCATGGCAAACACTGCCAACCCAGAAAACAGGATGAGACACTTCCTATTTATCAGGCTCCAAGGCTGTAAAGTAAATGGTACATGTGTACAGAGAAATTGGGTCATAGCAGTTTTTCTATTTGGTAACGTTTACAGTTCCACTGAGGTTCACGTTGTTCACATTGTTGAAGTTCACATTGTTCAGAAACCAGGTGTACAAGGCCTGGCCCCTAGCTGAAGAACAATTTCCAGACTTCTGCCTTACTAAAGCTCGCTAACTGTTGTTTAGAAGGAACTAAACAGACTTTTTAAGATTGTTAATAAATTAAAAACCCCAGGCCTTGCACTATGTGTGAACAATTTTAAGAAAAATAAGGTCATTTGTTATGGAATTTTATATTCAAAGAAACTTGGAGTGGTCACTCTGCATTACTTTGTCTCTTGAAGGACTTCCCCTGAATCACCCTACTATTATTAATACTGTTATTAAAAGGATATAAATTCTCCTTTTAAAGGCTGGGTAGCTGATTCTGTTGTCACTCTCAGGAACACATTCCACTGTTTTAGGATCCTTACCACCTAGTTCTCTTCATAATTAATTTAGACGTGTTTATCAAATGCTACTTAAAAATCATTTTTTTTTTGGAAAATCTTAGGAAATCTGATAAGTTGCTAGCAAACACACACACACACACACACACACACAACAGCAGCAACACAGTAGTCCTTCAAAACCTGAAGATTGGGCACTTTGCTAGGGCACTTTGTAGCTAGTTTTTTCTGGGTTGTCCTCTGAGAAGGTAATTTGCTAGTGCCTGCAGCTACATCTACCAATAATTCTTACTATAACAATGCAGAGTAGGATGGGGATAGTGAAGTTTTCTGGGTGGGATTTTGTTTGTTTGTTTGTTTTTTTGTTGTAAGTTTATGCCAGATAATAATAATGTAAGGTTTACAGAGATAAGATCTCTGAAGTTACCTGTCTCTGTTCTTCACAGATTTTTTTTTATTATTATACTTTAAGTTTTAGGGTACATGTGCACAATGTGCAGGTTAGTTACATATGTATACATGTGCCATGCTGGTGCGCTGCACCCACTAACTCGTCATCTAGCATTAGGTATATCTCCCAATGCTATCCCTCCCCACTCCCCCCATCCCACAACAGTCCCCAGAGTGTGATGTTCCCCTTCCTGAGTCCACGTGTTCTCATTGTTCAGTTCCCACCTATGAGTGAGAATATGCGGTGTTTGGTTTTTTGTTCTTGCGATAGTTTACTGAGAATGATGATTTCCAATTTCATCCATGTCCCTACAAAGGACATGAAAAGAGACTGGTTTACTAATTAGGAAAACTTCCTGAACAGTTCTATATACTGTGTTAACTCCACTCAAGATATTTCTGATGACTTTTAGGTCATTTCCAAAGTGATTTGAATTAGTATTTGTCCTTTTGTTAAGAAGAAATCAGTCCTGGAAGGAATCAAACTAAATAAATAACTAAAGAATAATTAATGCATAAAACAAGGCATGCTAAGAAAACATTCTTGGCCTACATAGATTAACAATTTGTTCTTCCCAAATCATTAAGGAATAGAAAACAATGAATCCTTGTGCTGTTTAAAGATCCTCTTTCAGAAACATATCATTGCAAAAGAACACACTATTCTACTAAAGGAAGTATATACACTCTAATTAACTAGGCAGGACATTGACATCCCAATCTAAATTCTTCTCCACAATGTTCTGTAAGAGTTTATTCAGCCATGTGTGGAGAGGTTTACTGTACTGTACTTTGGCAGTCACATATTTCTGAAAAGCTATTTTGGGAGGACTTTTTTTTTTTTTTTTTGAGACTGAGTCTCGCTCTGTCACCCAGGCTGGAGTGCAGTGGCAGGATCTTGCCTCACTGCAACCTCTGCTCCTTGGGTTCAAGCAGTTCTCCTGCCTCAGCCTCCTGAGTAGCTGGGATTATAAGTGCCCACCACAATGCCCAGCTAATTTTTTTATGTTTAGTAGAGAAGGGGTTTCGCCGTGTTGGCCAGGCTTGTCTGGAACTCCGGTCCTCAGGTGATCCATCCGCCTTGGCCTACCAAAGTGCTAGGACTACAGGTGTGAGCCACCGCGCCCGGTTGGAGTTTTTTTTTTTTTTTTTTTTTTTTTAATGCAGATTATATGATCAATCCTAACATCAGGATAAAGTTCCCTTTTCATCTTAAAAGGAAGGAAAATGTTTGCAAAGAGTAATTTTGAAAAGTTAGGAACTATAATTCTAAATAAAAAGAAGGCTAAAAGAAAATAAAACTATATAGCACAGCTCTTGGAAGATTATTAGTAGAATACAAGCTAGTCAGTTTGGCCTCAGCACCCAATTTTTTTTTTTTTTTTTTTTTTTTGAGACAGTCTCACTCCTTCACTCAGGCTGGAGTACAGTAGCGCGATGTCAGCTCACTGCAACCTCCATCTCCTGGGCTCAAGCAATTCTCCTGCCTCAGCCTCCTGAGTAGCTAGAATTAAAGGCATGCACCACCAAGCCTACCTAATTTTTGCATTTTTAGTAGAGATGGGGTTTCGCCATTTTTGCCAGGCTGGTCTTCAACTCCTGACCTCAAGTGATCTGCCTGTCTTGGCCTCCCGAAGTGCTGGGATTACAGGCGTGAGTGACCGCACCTGGCCAGCACCCAATATTAAGGAAAAAAAAATGCATTAAGAACAGAGCCAGGGCTCAGAGAGCTGATGGCACCAGCACTGTGGAGCGTAGAAATAGGAAGGGATAATTAATGGTCATCGCTGATTGTTCATCTTTCATCTATACCTGCTCTTTTTACAGGGTGTGAAAACAGTTTTGAGCTCAAGTTAAATTGTGGCTGCAAAACTTTTGCACAGACTTTGGAAAACTTACTTGTTCCGCTTCCTGGCAGATTCAAGTCCCTCCTAGCCTGTAGGCGCCCATCCTCTCTACACATTCGTCTGCTCTGGCCATTACACTATGCATTGCAACAATTTGATTATATGCTTCATCTTTCCCAAGACCAAAGCTCCTTGAGGACAGGGTCCATCTCGTTTCTCACTTTATCCCTCTTAGTGTGGCTATTCAATAAATCTCTGTTGAAAGCAAGGCATTGCTAATAACACTGATTTTTATTTTTGGAAGATACTTACCTTATGGACATAGTACATAATGAGTATGGATGCTGCCTGCACAATATTAGTTAACAGGGTCAAAGTGCAGTGGCAAAGTCCACATTTTAACTTCCTACCATTCAGGGAGAGGCATGAGGTTGCTTTGAACTGTATAGCACATATAAAGTGAATAGTTGAAATTATTATAACATTTTATTTAAAGTAGAAGAAACTGCAGGAACCTTGGTATTTCCTGATTTAGTGTCCCTATTATGTTGCTATACTGTATTGTAGTTACAAATTTATTTGTAATATTTTGTATTCTAATTCGTTTTAAAGAGTGATATGGGGCCAAACACGGCGGCTCACGCCTGTAATCCCAGCACTGTGGGAGGCTGAGGCGGGCGGATTGCCTGAGCTCAGGAGTTCAAGATGAGCCTGGCCAACATGGTGAAACCACATCTCTACCAAAAATACAAAAATTAGCTGGGCGTGGTGGTGCACACCTGTAGTCCCTGCTACCTGGGAGGCTGAGGTGGGAGAATAGTTTGAACCCAGGAGGCTGAGGTGGGAGAATAATTTGAACCCAGGAGGTAGAGGATGGCACCACCGCACTCCAGCTGTCTGGAAAAAAAAAAAGTGATATGGGGCCAGGTGCAGTGGTTCACACCTATAATCCCAGCACTTTAGGAGGCTGAGGTAGGAGAATCACTTGAGACCAGGAGTTCAAGACTAGCCTGGGCGATGGTAAGACCCCATCTCTACAAAAAATAAAAATTAAAACGTTAGCTAGGTGTAGTAGTGCATACATGTAGTCTCAGCTACTTGGGAGGCGGAAGTGGGAAGATCTCTTGAGCCTGGGAGGTCAAGGCTGCATGAGCCATGATCATGCCACTGCACTCCTGCCTGGGTGACAGAGCAAGACCCTGTCTAAGAATGATATGCTCTTCTCCAGTACCAAAGTACTAAAGTGATTTATTCATCCTATTCAATTCCCTGACATAAGTGGCACAAGAAATGGGAGGAGATTGAGGAGAAAGCAATTAGCTGGTTGGTAAATGGTTCATTGCAGTTAATAATGAAAGTGTGCCAGTTGCCTCTGGTTTTCATAGTTGAGATCCTAAACTGCACTTACCCTAGTTCTGAGGTGTGTCTGAATAACTTTAAAATACGTGCTGGGGATGGTGGTACACAGATGGGTCCCTGTATCTATCTCCCTTAGGGAACCAAGAGTCTAAAGCTATCAGGTTTATAGCTAAAATTGTGTTGATGCCATGTGTGAGGTAGAGAGGGTCTGGAACCTTTGTTGGGGTAGGGAAACCACAAGGATTCTGTTTTCCTAAAGAACTTAGGAGCCTTGTAAGAAGGTGAGGCCATAAGAAAATAGATTTATGCTCAGATTCAGCCAGGACTGGGAAAATGGTATTATCCCATCAGCCCAAATATTTTCCCATTTTTGTGGTCACATTCCAGAGTCTTGGGGAAAAGGGTAAAAGAAGCAGGGGAAGAACCAGTGGTATGTTGGTAAATGCCTCTCTAAGGAAAAAAAAAGTCCTGATTTGTAGCACTTGGTGATTGTCATAAGGTAAAAACTCCTACTGTGACTGATTTCAAGCTCCCAGCTGGCAAGCTGGCCACAGCCACACCACTGAAAGGCTGAGATTAAAAACCTGAAAACTAGGCCAGGCACAGTGGCTCATACCTGTAATTCTAGCGCTTTGGGAGGCCAAAGGTGGGCAAAGTGGCATAGGGGATGTGGAGGGAGGGGCTGATTACTTGAGGCCAGGAGTTTGAAACCAGCCTGGCCAACATGGTGAAACCCAGTCTCTACTAAAAATACAAAAAAAAATGAGCTGGACATGGTGGCACGCACCTGTGATCCCAGCTACTCAGGAAGCTGAGGCATGAAAATCACTTGAACCCAAGAAGCAGAGGTTGCAGTGAGCTGAGATCACACCGCTGCACTCCAGCTTCGGCGACAGAGCAAGAGTATGTCTCAAAAACTAAAATAAAATAAAAACCTTGAAACTAAAAAGAAAGAGCTGTTTATTTTAAAATATTTATCAACTAGCAATGCTCTCAAGCTTGTATATCAGAATATTACAAAAGGTTAGAAGAAGGAATTTCAAGAGCACTTTCTCCCCTGAGGTCAGAAATGGAGCAGCTGCAAGGCCAGATTATAGCCAGCAGCTCCATCTGATGGGTCTCAGCAAACATCAGAGGCACTGGGGCCATGGGGAGTCCTTGCCTCTGAGTGCCGTATTAGAAGTTACCCAAAAGAAGATGAAGTAGGCTATATTCATAAGCATTGTGGACTGCCCCCAGAGATTTCTAAAAATGGTTGGGAGATACCTTAAAGCAGAATGGAGTTCCTCCAACAGCAAGGAATGGGGGTGGGGTCAAGATCCACAACAAAACTGCTTTCTCCAAACTAACTGGCAGTTATTGATATTTAGATAATTCCTATTGGCCTTAATCTAAAGATAAATGCCCATTCTTAAGAAATTTTATTTGAACAAAGTTAATTCAAAATTGAAATTACAAATTACTTCCCAAATATCTCTGACCACAATAGACCTAGAAAAGCAAAACCCACTAATGAACACTAAATATTAGGGGAGTTGATGCAGATCATCAGATTAAGCAAATGCTTATGTAGTATGTACAAGCCAAATGCCACCAAAGCCATGAGATAGAGCTGTTTTTCTGATAGTGGCAATCCACTGGTCCTGGTCATGACCAGATGCCTAATCTTTGGTGACCCACAGATTTGTAAGAAGTTGTTCAGGATTTAAAATGTAAATGGAAGTCAAGGTAAATTAACCCAGAGACACGACTGAATCCCTGACCTTGTTGTCATGAGTCCTGGGCTTTAATCAGATAAACTAACCAGCTTGGACAGCAGATAATGAACCTACCTGATGAAATTCTTGGCCAGAGAATTATAAAACAATCTTAATTTATCTTGACAGATACTGCTGAGATCGAAATGTGGCAACATGTATTAATGAGATTTTTAATTGAACTAGAATTTCGACAAAGAACCTAAATTTAAGATAAATAAGTTTATCCTAAAATACAATTAAAATAGTTAACATAGATCTCTATTACCTCACTTTCCTCATAATTTATAGTGTTAGTAAAATATTACTAACAATCACTTTAGTTGCCGCATATGACATAGTTAGTTCATAGCTAGTTGTTAGCAATTCATGTAGGATACATCTCTATAGAACATTAATGTAAAGATTGCCTTTAATTATGCTCTTGTGACTTGATGAAACTGTGCAAGTTAAGATTACTGTGTTTTTGTGTGCCATTCTATTGTCTAGCATAAAAAATAATCAGCAAATTCAGTTGCTATGGGATACAAAACATTTTCTCACAAAACAATTGAAATAATCAGTTTTTTAGCAACCAACCTGAAGTAGTTTCTTTATGTAGAAAAAGAGCTTTAAATGATATATTTATATTAATCTATAGCAATTAGTAACTTAAGTAGTTACTAGAACTTATTTTGGAAATCACAAGTTGATGATTTATCATGCTACAGGATTGCTCTAATTTTTACTTAAACTGATAGTAAGAGAATGGGCAGCAATATGAACTTATGAGAAGTGCACATGTCTAAGAAATTAGATGTAGGTTCTGAAAATTAGTTTGGATAAGCTTTTGCTCTCTTTAACTCAAGTTCCTCTCCCCCTGGAGTAAAAGGTGTGTGTGTGTGTGTGTGTGTGTGTGTGTGTGTGTGTGTGTGTTTACAAGAACCAGTTTGATGTAATTAGAATTTAAATTTCTAATCAAATTATATTTTAATATCAGAAGAGTTTATCTTAGTTCTAGTTGACATTCAATTAAAAAGGGATACTAATACACAAGCTTGAAGTTTCTTTCCAGTGGACCCTGTTCCTCTGACCACATTCTCCAATTCTCACTCAGTTAAAAAGAGCTACAAATATATAAAAGCATTTCATAATCTTTCATTTCATATGACCCAGCTATTAAATTATCTTTAAATGTCAGTAATAGCTTCTTTACTAATCTAGTTGCAAATTAGGCTATTTTAAATGGAGGGCAGATTGTCCCCAACTTATGTAAGTTAATGGTTCAACTTAAGATTTTTTTACTTGACAATGGCACGATAGCACTATGCACTCAGGAGAAACCATACTTTGAGTACCCAAGCAAACATTCTGTTTTTCACTTTCAATACAGTATTCAATAAATTACATGAGATAATCAACACTTTCTTATAAAATAGGCTTCATGTTAGATGATTTTGCCCAACTGTAAGCTAATTAAGTATTCTGAACATATTTAAGGTAGGCTTGGCCAAGCTAAAATGTGGGCAGTTTAGGTGTATAAACTGCATTTCTGTCACAATGTTTTCAACTTATTATGAGCTTATTGGGATGTAACCCCATCATAAATTGAGGAGCAGCTGTATTTTTGTAAGGGTTGCCCTTTGCTACCACAGTTAGTTCATACATATGCACTCACTTTCCCCCCTGCCTGGAAAACTCACCTGCAAACTCCTTCTTGCCTGTCAGGTCTCAGCTTGATTTAAGGTTGCCAGATAAAATACATGATGCCCACTCAAACTTGAATTTCATATTAAAACACATTTGTGTTTTTAGTACAAATGTGTCCCAAATATTGCAGGGGATATACTTACACTAAAAAAGTATTCATTGTTTATCTGACATTTGAGTTTAATCGGCATTATGTATTTTTATTTGCTAAATCTGGCAACCCTCACTTGACTGGCACCTCCTTGGAGAGATTTATGCTAAACAGTTCTCAAAACTAGTCTCCCTCTCTGTCTCCTCCCAACATTTTCTATTCCATCACTCTGCTCTGAATTCTTGTGAACACTTACTACCATCTGAAATTATCTTATTTTTATGTGTGTGTTGTCCAACTTTCTTATAATAATGTACACACACACTGTTTTTGAAGCACACAAATTCAGAGATCAGTCTTAGCACTTTGTAAGGAGATAACATTTCCAAACTCTATATGAGATCTGTATTCTTCACCTCTTTACCCTCAACCTATAGAATAGCATGTGGTACACAATAGGTGATCAATAAATATCTGATGAAGGAAGGTGTTAATGTGTATATTAAAAGAAAGAATTTGAAAATTATACATAAATATCACCAGGAAGAAATTGCCCTTGCAAACAGCACTACTTCTAACTACAAAGCTAAATTTTAAAATATACATTTATATTTTCAAATGACTTATATATGGCTTAAAGATTGAACTGTCCAAAAAATGTTAGAAAAAGCCATTTATTATGGGCATTCTTTTTTTTAATAAACTGTAATCAGTGATCTTTTTAAACCAAGGTCTACTGATTTTGCTACAGTAATACCTACCTGCCAATAAAAGAATATGTAGTTGAATGTGAATGTTTGTTATCCCTAGGGAGCCTTGATCTCACTAAATACAGAAATAGCTCAGTGAATAAATTGGATACGTTTGTGTTTTCATGGAAGGTTTTTATTTTTTTTAATATTTTTTGCTTTCTAATTGTCCCTGGGATATATTAAAACAAATGCTGTGAATCACAAGAAGACTGATATAGTTGCAGAACCCCCTCCTGCCCTTTTGCCTTGTGATGAAAGGAAACATTTGATTGATGGATTTCGGCTCATTACAAATATGTTATCAAGTCATCAAGGGCTTTTGGGTTGAAATTCAGAAAGAATAATAAAACAGAAGGAAGGACTTTAAAAAAACCCTCCTATTTACAGCTGTTAAATTAAAATAAAAAATCCTGTCACATCTTAAACAGTTTGAAGGTGTTATTTGCATTTCAACTCTCTGGAAGGTGCCAAGCCAGATCTCTGATTTGTGTGCTACACTAGTGGTTGTATGTGTCCAGAGGGGATAATGTCTGAGGAATTCAGATGTTTGGATGAATGATTATTTCAGAATTCAAAGCTGAATTCTCAAAAAGAGAAAGAGGCAGAATGATTTTATTAATGGCTTCACCCAACTGATTAGTAACACGTTATCACATTATGCTGTACTATGTGATAGTTGCTATTAGGGGTACCGAGTAGATGTATAAGTAGATCTGATCAAATTATAATTTCATGGCTCTTGGAAGACAACTCTTTAAGGTTTCCTTGAGAGAGTTATGGAACAAACCTTACCTACAGTTTGACAAGTCTTGAATCTGGCATACCTTGAACTCTCTCTTTTCCAAGGCCTGCACACTCAAAACATACTCATTTTGCCTCCGGTTCTCAAAAAGAGAGGAATTCTAGCTTCTCAGCCAAAGAAGACTTAGAGGAAAAAATTGTAAGGAAGGTGAAGTTTCTGCAGCTCCTTACAACCTTAACATCCTGTTCTTCCTCTTATCTTTCCTCTCCCTACCACACCTCTCCAAAATAAAAAGGAAAAGAAAAAGATAACTTTACCTTTTTCCACCTCCAGTGGTTCTCCAAAACGGGTGCTCTTCAGAATCGCTTAAGTTTGTTTTAGTTTGGCTTTTAAAATACAGATGCCTGGGCTCTACCTCAGATCAATTGATTCAGAATCTCAGGAGGTGGTTCCCTAGCATTTTAACGGCTCCTCAGCTGATTCTAATGTGTTACCAGGAAGAAGAACCGCAGTAGCAGGCCATTAAGTGAAAGCTAACATAAAAGCTGATAAAAGCTTTAAGGCAATGGTTCTCAAGCTTGGCTGTACATTTGAATCACCTGGGGGAGCTTAAAAAAGTGCCCAGGCTCTACCCTAGACCAGTTGATTCAGACTCTCCAATAGTCTGGGCCTTCAGGCTCTCTACCTGATTCTCATGTGCACCAGGGTTGAGAACCACTGGTTTCTAGTGTAACCCTTTGCAGAGGTATTTGCATTTTCATAAGCCTTAGTGTAGACCTTTGCAGAGTTATTTGTATTTTCATAAGCAACTAAGAAGTTGCTTCAATGATTAAAGACAGGAAAGGGTGCTAGGAAAACATCTGTCTGTCTGTACCACCACCATGTCCTCTCTCTTTCTGAACCCTTCCAAACCAATCTTTGTAGATAGGTTCTTCTATGCCTACTTATCTAATGACGGATCCCAGCATACTATTCTCTGTTACTAAAAATTATGTTGTGATGATTGAAACTGATGAAAGACTGTTGTCTTTACACTTGTTTTTATAATGATTACCTCCAAAATTTTCATATAAAACTTTTTTACATTTTAAATTTGTATATTTTTGTAAAATTAGGTGAGCTAAGAAACAAGTTAGACTCCTAATGGTGTGCATAAACAATGGTTGAGTCTTTGCATAAAGAAATCTATCTTCATTTGTATACTTTGTGTGTTTTTTAAAAATAAAAGAAATCAGAGGGATTCATGGAGGCTAATTTTCCCTTCCAGGCCTATCTGTACCAAAGAAAAGGGAAGATTTTCTTGCCTTTTCTTTTTCTACAAATGGCATTATATGCATAGGTATTTATATATTTTTATCTTTATGAAATTTCAGGGGGAAACAATTGGCCCATTTTCCAAGTGTAAGAAAAGAAAGTACCACCATTTAGAAGAGATATGGTTAGGTTGCTGATCTTTGTTCTTATTACTAAAAGAAATGAGAAACAGGATCTATTCCAGGGAATGGGAGGGACAAAGGGACCATTTGGCCCCAGGCTGCTTACACACAAAGACCTTCAAAATTGATTTTTACTTATTATTTAAATGAGATCTATGCATATAGTCCATCATATAACTTTAAACTTGTGCCCATTTATTAGATACAGGTTGAGTATCCCACAACCGAAATGCTTGGGACCAGAAATGTTTTGGATTTCAGATTTTTTTTTTTCATTTTAAGTTACTTGCATATACATAATGAGATATCTTGAGAATGAGACCCAAGTCTAAAGACAAAATTTATGTTTCATATACACCTTATACACATAACCTAAAGGTAATTTTATACAAACCGTTTAATAGGTTTGTGCATAAAACAGAGTTTTGACTGCTTTTGACTGCAACCCGTCACATAAAGTCAGGTGTGGAATTATCCAATGGTGGTATCATGTCTGAAAGTTTTGGATTTTAGAGCATTTCTGATTTTATATTTTTGGGTTAGGGATGCTTAACCTGTATCTACACACTGCTATTATGCTTTTGTATGAATTAATTTTTTAGCACAGTCATCTATATTTTTCTCCTAAAACATGAACTGCTTTGCATTGAAGTTTTGGAATATTTTTAAGCATTTTTTTTAATTTAAGCATTTAAAGTACATTTTTTAAAATTTATGACAAGATTATTCTAAAATTTATAGGACTGAAAAGGAACTAGAGTAGCTATAATAGTTTTCAAAAAAAAACATAGTGGGAAGAATCACTGTACCCAATTTTAAGACTTATTATAAAGCTACAGCCATCAACATTGTTGGTATTGGCAGAGGGATAGACACATAGATCAATGGAACAGAATAGAGAATGCAGAAATAGACCCACACCTCTATGTATAACTGATGTTTGACAAAAATGTGAAAGCAATTCAGCAAAAAATAAGGATAGTCTTTTCAACAAATGGTAGAAGAGTAGTTATGTATTCATAGGTCAAAAAATAAACCTTGTCCTAAACCTTACACTATGTATGAAAATTACTTAAAATGGATCATAGACTTATAAGTAAAACTTTTAGAAGAAAACATTCAGGACCTAGGGCTTTGTGAAGAGTTTTTGGGTAAGATACTGAAAGCGCAATCCATGAAAGAAAAAAAATTAAATAAATTGGACATCATCAAATTAAAAAATGTTTGTTTTATGACTTCGGATGTGTTAAGACATGAAAAAAACAAGCTATAGGCTGGCAGAAAATGCTTGCAAATCACATATCTGACAAAAGACTCATATGTAGAATATATAAAGATTGTCAAACTCAACAGTAAATAAACCCAAACAGTCCAATTAGAAAATAAGCAAAATACATGAAGAGACTTCTCACCAAAGAGGACACACAGAGAGCAAATAAACACATTAAGAGATATGCAACATAATTAACCATTAAACAAATGCAAATTTAAACCACAATGAAATATCAGAATGGCTAAAATAAAAAATCATGACTCATAAATACCTGGTAAGGGGTAAATTAGTACACATTCGAAGTCAGTATAGCCAAGTCTTAGAATGCTAAACAAACACCATATGACCCAGAATTTGTATCCCGGGGTCTTTATCGCAGAGAAATGAAAACTTATTTTCACACAAAAACCTGTAGGTGAATACTCATAGAAGCTTTATTTGTAATAGCCAAAACTGGAAACAACCAAAATGTCCTACCTTAGATGAAGAGTTAAACTTTAGTATATCTATACTGTAGAATACCGCTCGGCAATAAAATGGAAGAATTATTGATGGATCTTAAGTATGTTATGCTGAGTGAAAAAATGCTAGTCTCAAAAGGCTTGCATTACTGTGTGATTTTATTCATTCTCAAAATGACCAAATTGTAGTGATAAAGAACAGATTAATGACCTCCACGGGTTAGGGTTGGTAGTTCAGAGGGCAGCATGAGGGATGGTCTAGTCTCTAACCTGATTGAAGTGATGGGTACATGAGCATACACATGAGATAAAATGACATGGAAATATACATGCATATGGCTCCAATGTCAATGTCCTGGTTTGGATATTGTACTCTAGTGGCATAAAACTGGAGGAAACTGGGTGAAAGATGCACAGGGACCTCCTGTACTATCTTTACAACTTCCTTGGAATCTATAATTATATCAAACAAAAGTTTGATTGATTTATTTTTTTAATAAGAATTGACTTGTTAAGTATAAGAACTGAAAATAGATTATTTTTGTAATTCCCTTTGGACCTTTTTATGTTTCTACTATGCTGGAATCCTCAAAAGCTGGAAGGGCCTGAGCCTCTCAGACCTCTTACCTCTGAGAGGTGAGAGAAGTAAAATTCACCAGCCAGGCTGGCTCTAACATCCTCATGGGAAGCCTAGTTGGAAACATCCCAGAAGAATACTGCCTCAGGTTTCCAAGGCCTGTGGGGTGAGATCTGCAAAGAGAGGGATGATAAGCAGGACTCCTCCTGACCCACACTTGGTCCCTCATATGACACACACACTCACATACACACACACACACGCGCGCGCACACACACACATGGTTTCTCAGAGTCAGCTGCTACCATGGCCTTCATTGTCATCTTTGCCACCTTTGTATCTGCGTCACTGATTGCTAATTCCTAATCTATGTAAACACCCTTGTGAGATCACTTTACGCATCTTGGCTGTCATCTCTGGGAAATGATTCCATAAGAGGCAAAACCAGTCCTGCAGATTTTCCAAACCCAGAAATATTTCTGTTGTATTTCCTGTTACATAACTGAGGTTTGTGGAGAGCCCATGAGACTGAAGGAAGGAGAGGAAACCCCTATGTTGTGTTTTAACTATTTTAACCCACGTTTCCCTTAATAACTCTTCTTCCTGTTTACTACCTTTTTTATTATTTTCTTTATTATTTCTATCCTGGATATAAGAGTAAAGTAGGACTAGAAAACTTTTTTAAGTCTTTGAACAAGGAACCTCCATGAACGTATATTTACACACAGCTATTTTGAGTTTCAAGATGCCTGAAAAGGGTGTAGCAGCATTCTTTAGATAGTACCTAATGCAAAATGCACCCTCAACTTGATCTCCCTTGTGGTTGAGAGTGTGCATATATCTATTTCTTTTCTTTTTTTTTTTTTTTCTTTTTGAGATGGAGTCTTGCTCTGTTGCCCAGGCTGGAGTGCAGCAGTGCGATCTCGGCTCACTACAGCCTCCACCTCCCAGGTTCAAGCGATCTTTCCCCTTCAGCCTCTCCAATAGCTGGAATTACAAGTGTGTTCCACCACACCTGGCTAATTTTTTGTGTATTTTTAGTAGAGGCGGGGTGTCACCATGTTGGCCAAGCTGGTCTCGAGCTCCTGACCTCAAGTGATCCTCAAACGCCATTTTATATAGAGTTTTATTTATAAGAAATAAGTGGGACAAGTAGGAGATTCTTAAGAATCGTTGCACTCTAGTTCAGATATTTTTTATATATTTATAATAATCATAGTTATATAAGCATAATTAACCCTTAATTTGTAAAGTTTATATAAAGGCTACATTAATTAGATACTTGATTCAATAACTAATAGATTACCAATCTATTTAAAATACCCATTTTCTTAAACACTTACTAGGTCTCAAGAACTGTTTTGAGATGCAGGAATTCATCTAATTTTCACTGCCGGGCGAGGTGTGAGAGCCCTAGCATCTGAAAGTGGTCGACTTGCGAGTTGGTAAGAAGAATTTAATAACAACAGAATAGGTTTGAAAAAGGAAAGTTTTAGTAGAAAGAAAGAACACTGCAGAAGAGTGCAGCAGGGCGCCTTAGCAAGATAGAACTGAGTGGGCCATGGTGGATTCTCCTTGGGAGCATTTATGGACCTTAAGACAGAAGCTTGAGGGTAATTTGGACCATATTAGCCAGACAGGTCATGATAAATGATGACATTTATAGTCATTTTGGTGCCTTTGTGTCAGCAAGGGTTGCACAATGAGTTTCAGCATAGCGTTCTGGAGATGTATAGAAATTTTAGTTACTTAGAAATTTTTTTGAAAGAGGCCTGGAACCAGATGCCTATTTAGATACTAGAGAATTTTAAATACTTCTAAATTCCCTCGATACGGAGTTTTGCCTCTGATGGCCTAGTTGATGGTCACCAGGTGTTCTTTGCTCCCTTCATGATACTTCTAAATTCCTCAGATACGGAGTTTTTTGTCTCCAGTACCTGTTCATGGTCATTAGCTGATTTTTGCTGTCCTCACTCGCAGTATCTTTCAAGTAGGTACTAGCAATCCCTCATTTTACAGATGATGAAACTGAGACACAGAGTTTGAGTAACTTTCTCAAGGTGACATTGCTGGTAAGAGGCAAAGCAAAAAATAGGACCATGAAGTCAATATCTTCATTAAAAAATTTATGAAAGATTAGAATAAATGAATATAGTGACCAAATAGTCAAAATGGTCTGGAATCACTCTCTCTTTGCAATGATTAAGATAATCCAAATGAGAATATTTCAGTTAACAAAATCCATCTCATTACAGGATACTGGCAACTGCATCAAATCTACATTTTGCTTGCAAATGTTCATCCAGTATGAAAGAGAGAATAAAAATATTAGGATAAAATAATTTTTTTAAGTGAGGAGATAGGCAGTCACACATTCTTTTGTGACACAAACCAGTTCTACAGTAGAATAATGAAGGCATTGTTCAGCAGTTTGAAGGTTTGATTTATAAAACTAGGTGTTAACTGATTGGCAATCAACCAATAGAAGGTAAATTGCTAAACTAGTCTGCATGTGCAGATGCTAGTAAGAAATTTTCAAAGGCACAGCTGCACTTTTATACAAAGTTCCCTGATCATCTACAGGTACTTCCCCACATGTGGTCATGACCTTTGATGACACCCATTCAGGATATCAGTCGCCAGTTTGTTTATAAAATGATTCAGATGTACTTAATTAGATTATTCAGAGTTTCTGTGGGAGTGCAGGAATGTCCTGTATTTCTTGTCCCTTTCTCCCATAACTTCTACCTCCCTACAAAGGCCTAAATGCTCTGCTTTTGATGGAGGCGTGCAACTTCAGATAAGCTCCGGTAAGAATATAGGTGTTTTTGATAGGCTAAAATGGAAAGCACAAATTTCTGAAACCCCAGGAAAAAGGTGCAAACTCTACATACACTGTGCAATCTGCATGAAATCCACCATAGGAGAATTGAGTAGTGATTAAGTCTGGTTTGAAAATTCTGCATCAAATTCACAGAGTTTTACTTTCAACCCATTTGGGTGAAAGAAATAATGTCCTTACAACATCTCTTCCACTTCTTTCCTTCTTTCTTACTCTTCTCCATTGGTTACTCTTTAATCATTCAGCATCTTCCTTTTTATTTATCTCACACTGTGCCTGGGACACAGAGTAAACTTTTGTACTTCCAGCCCCTTCATCCCACCCTTTTAATATAGTTCAACGAATATTTATAAATTTCCTAGACTGTGGTAGTTAGTGCTTTTCTGAGCACTGAAGATACATCATTGAACAATAGACACACACAAACACACACACATACACACACACACACACACACGCGCATGCATGCACCAAAAAAAATAAAAGATTAACTGAAAGCTTAAACTACATATTGGAAAAGAAACATTTTTGAGAAAAATTCAATACTGAAAGAAAAGATATTCTTCAAAAGTATAAAAAACAACCTAGATTATTGCAGGAGATCATACAAACTGGTTTGTTTTTTATTTAAATTCTACAGCCACATGGTTCATAACAGTATTTCAGTTTAGTTTTAACTTGCATTTTTTTTTAGTTTTGGGTAATATTAAGAATATTTTACTGTGTTTAGAAGTCTTTTATATATTTCCTTAGGATAAACTATCAGCTCATATTCTTTGCCCAATTTTCTAATGGGCAATTGTTTTTTTCTCATTGATTTATATGAGTTGAAAAATATTTTTTCCAGTTCGTTGATTATCTTCATTATGACATTGCTTAGCGGTTTTGCATTGCAGAAGTTATTTATTTTTATGCAATCACATTTGTCCAACTATTTGTTAATGGTTTAATGATGTAGGAAGAGGACCTTCCCCTCTAAGATTATAAAAGAATGTTCCATGGTTTCTTCTAGTTCTGTTCTAGTTTCATTTTTCTAAAAATAAATCTTTAGCTGGGCACAGTGGCTCATGCCTGTAATCCCAGGACTTTGGGAGGCTGAGGTGGGCGGATCACCTGACATCAGGAGTTCGAGACCAGCCTGACCAACATGGAGAAACCCTGTCTCTACTAAAAATACAAAATTAGCCAGGCATGGTGGCACATGCCTATAATCCCAGCTACTCTGGAGGCTGAGGCAGGAGAATCACTTGAACCTGGGAGGCGGAGGTTGCAGTGAGCCAAGATCACAGCATTGCACTCCAGCCTGGGCAACGAGAACGAAACTCTGTCTCACAAAATAAATAAATAAAATAAATCTTTAATTTATTTTGAATTTACCTTGGGGTGGAGTATAAGGTATAAATTTATTTTTTTCTTTCAGGTAACTCTTGAGTTGCCCCAACGTTGAAACCACCTTTGCAAAAATTCTAACTGAAGAAATTATGACAGTGAAAGAGATCAGAACTAACTGACTCCATCTGGCTTCTAACCTTTAAGCTGTCCTTGTTCATTCCTGGTTGCAGGCAGAACTAACCTTGGGAAGGAATTTAGTTTATGGTTTGGCTCTGAAACAAAATTGATAATGTCCCTTTTCCCAAAAAGACCCACTTCTTGCCTGGGGACCAGTCTGCCTTTGTAGGACTAACAGATTAACTACAGGATTAGATATTACATTTTAGGGGTCATGCAGCCTCTGGCTACAAGAGTCTGACCTTCCCCAGATTGCTCCTATGGATAGCATTACTATTATAAAACCTAAGATCAGTGCTTGAGATATTTTGCAGACCCTGCACTGGATGGATCAGCTGACACCACCCAGATTGGTAATCTGGCTTAACCACTTCTGCGATCCCCTCTATAATTCTATCTCCAACCTGACCAATCAGCACTTCCCACTTTCGAGCTCCTATTTTAATTTAAATTATCTTTAAGAACTCTGATCTTCGTGCTCTGGGAAACTGATTTGTGTAATAATAATACTCGTGTCTCCCATACAGCCAGCTCTGCCTGAATTACTCCTTCTCCATTGCAATCCCCCTGTCATGATAAATTGGCTCTGTCTAGGCAGCAGGCAAGGTGAATCCATTGGGCAGTTACAAATTTGGGGGCTCGACCAGGATTGCCTTTGTTGTTACCTGCTCTGTAGCCCACCTCTGGTGATGGATCTGGAGGCCAACCCAAGTGGCCACCTAGTTCTCTTGGACTAGGGGCTGACTCTGGCACTCTCTGCCAGTGGGGTGCTGCTGACCCAATGTGCATGGATTCAATTGCAGTGGAGAAGTAATGCTAGGGAGATATCTCATAACTGTAGCCTCATCACTGGGTGTCTGTAGCTGTAGCCTCAATGCAAGGTGTCTGATTTGGTGAGTATTCCAGGCAGCTACCAACAGCCCCTTCCTTCTCCTGATTTATTGGCCTCTCTGGAGGTGCTGCTGTCTCTTAGTAACCTCCCAGGGTGTCTGTCTGTAGCCCTATCACAAGGTATCTGCCTGTAGCTCCATTACAAGGTGTCTGTAGCTGTAGCCCCATTACAGAGTGTCTGTCTGTAGCCCCATTAGGGGTTGTCTAATTGGATGGAGACTAAGGAACTTGTTTGGAGGACTACTCTTGGTTTGAGACTGGGTCTGGAATCTGTGTCTTGAAGGCCTTCTGTTCATCTTACATTGTTTGCGTGTGTGTGTGTGTGTGTGTGTGTGTGTGTGTGTGTGTGTGTGTTTATATGTATGGAGGGCCCTGAAGGAATTGCTCACAGCAGTTTTCTGGGGGCAGGGGACAGAGTCTCACTCTGTTGCCCAGGCTGGAGTGCAGTGGTGCAATCTCAGCTCACTACAATCTCCACCTCCCAAGTTCAAGCAATTATCATGCCTCAGCCTCAGAGTAGCTGGGACTATAGGCGTGCGCCTCCATGCCCAGCCCTGAGTTATCATTTTGGGTAAATGAATGACTTATGGTGACACGGGACTCTATTTTGTGATATCCAGTGTTTTAAATCTTTGATATTTGACAAACCTTCCAAGATCAAATTATAAGTTTAAAAAAAAAAATTAGATATCCTGAAGTTCAAAAAGATATATTAGGCTTATTTAATGTATTAAAATCATGCAGGAAACATTGTCAAATATAAAATGGTGTTTAACTTTCTTTGAGTTATACTCATATAAATATGTTATTAGTATGTGTTATAAAATTGTATAAGATTTCTATAATTCTAATATGCCTCAGTATATGTTATCAGTAATAATTATAATTGTTATGTTGAATTTTTGTGTGCCACAGAGGTAACAAATTTCCTTGTCAATTTCTTTGACTGCGGCTTCCCTAAAACATTTCTGTCATCTGCAGACAATTGTTGTCTTGATTTGGTCCTCTTTAGGAGATGGTTTTATAATCAGCTATAAAACTTTGACAGGTGCTCTTGAATGCAAGTTTCTGATAACCTTGGAGATTATGACATTAAAATAAAGGAAAAAACTTTCGGGACTCTCATAAAGAGCTGAAATGTTCTTTCATATGAAGAAATCAGCTCTGTCTAGGTAGCAGGCAAGGCAAACCTGTTGGGTCATTACAACATTAGCTATTAAATAATCTGTTTTCTCATTGACCTGAGATGCTATTTTTATCATATGTGTTTGGGTCCATTTCTGAATTTTTTTAAAACTTATTCATTAAAATTTTTCTACTTTTCTTTTTTCTTTTCTTTCTTTCTTTTTTTTTTTTTTTTTTGAGACAAAGTCTCTCTCTGTCGCCCAGGCTGGAGTGCTGTGGCCTCCTGAGTAGCTGAGATTACAGGCGCGTGTCAACACACCCAGCTAATTTTTGTATTTTTAGTAGAGATGGGATTTCACTATGTTGGCCAGGCTGGTTTCAAACTCCTGGCCTCAAGTGATCCACCTGCCTTGGCCTCCCAAAGTGCTGGGATTACAGGCATAAGCCACTGTGCCTGGCCAGAACTTTATCCATTTCTTTGATAGTACCACATTATTTAATTATTTTAGCTTTATAAAAATTTTAATATTTAATATGACTAGCATCCCATTTATTAACCTACTTTTCAGAATTTATAGAATTAGGGAAAACTGACGTTGTGTGAGCCTTGCCATCCAAGAACATGCTGTACATTTTCTTTTATATAAGTTCTCTTCTCCTGATTCTTAAGAGCATTTAAAATATTTTTCATACATATGTTGCACATATCTTGCTATCTTGTTACATATTGTCTTTATTTTGTTGCAGCTATAAGTAGGATCCTTTCATGTATTAAATCTTCTTACTGGTTTCTTTTTTAATATATGAAGAATATTTATTTTAATCGAGTTCCCAGCCTAGATGTTGAATTATTTTTGTATGTATGATACTTTTTTGGTTGATTTTCCCAGTTTTTAAAGTTTGATCTAGTTCGATCATCTGGAATCCCTTTTGAATTTCTGTACCTCTGATTTCTTTCTCTGATCTAGTTATGTTAGAGCTTTCAGAACAATAACTAAAGTGGTCATAGCAGATGTATTTGTCTGGTTCCTGACTTTGTTGGAAATGTTTCTACTAATGTTTTTAGGCATAATGCTGAATTTTAGGTTAAGATCAATAATTTTTATATGTTAAGGAAATATCTATGTATTTCTCTTTCACTATGAATCAAGAATAAATGTTGAATTTTAACAGATGTCCTTTTAACATACACAGATATGACAGACTTTTTCCTTAAATCTTTTAATATAAAATTAAATTTTAATCTTTTAAGTTATATTAATGAAGTTTCAAAAATTGAATTTATAGAACTAATCTTCACATTTGTAGAATAATCCCCATTTGATCAACATAAACCTTCTATTAACAAGCTGCTGGATTGTGTTTGCTAATGTTTTATTTAGTTTTTTTTGGTATCACTAAACAAGTGAATTTATCTATAATTTATTGGAGCATATTTTTTGTCAGATTTTGCCCTGTATCCTTTTATCAAACAGAAGCTTTTCACCAGTGATTTTGTTAAATAAGACACATATGAAAAGATATATGACAATTTTTACTCCTTCCAAATTTGGGGGGAAATATATATGACAATTTTTACTCCTTCCAAATTTGGGGGTAAATATAGTTAAGATAATTAGATTACAACAAGTCAATTACATTACTTCTTGAATATAGCTCTCTTTAATTTTCCAGGCACAGAGCATTTATATTTTGTTGGGCATTTGTGTTATTATTTTTCAGTTATGGAGAAAACTTGTATAGATGCACTTCCTCTTACTATGAATTCTTCAGAAAAGCAAGAGACTGTATGTATTTTTGGAACTGGTGATTTTGGAAGATCACTGGGATTGAAAATGCTCCAGTGTGGTTATTCTGTTGTTTTTGGAAGTCGAAACCCCCAGAAGACCACCCTACTGCCCAGTGGTGCAGAAGTCTTGAGCTATTCAGAAGCAGCCAAGAAGTCTGGCATCATAATCATAGCAATCCACAGAGAGCATTATGATTTTCTCACAGAATTAACTGAGGTTCTCAATGGAAAAATATTGGTAGACATCAGCAACAACCTCAAAATCAATCAATATCCAGAATCTAATGCAGAGTACCTTGCTCATTTGGTGCCAGGAGCCCACGTGGTAAAAGCATTTAACACCATCTCAGCCTGGGCTCTCCAGTCAGGAGCACTGGATGCAAGTCGGCAGGTAAGAATAAACAAATTTACACTCAATCTTTAAAACATGAATCATTAAATGTGCACTTGCCTCAAAGATTCCAAAATATAATTCCAAGATGAAATGCCCACTAAATATTACATTTTGCTAATATGTGCTGTGAATAATTTTCTTGAGCTTGACCAAATAAGGTGGTCAACTGTTATATCTCCCACTGTCTGCACCCTCAGATTTTAGTTTGATGGAACCCCATGGTGTCAGCCTCTGGAGGCTTCTTGTCAGTACTAGAAACTAATACTTGGTGAATATCCTTTTCTGCTTCCATTACCTTGTATGAAACTGGTTCCATTTATACACTGAGATTAGAAGCATTCATAAGTGATGCGGCACCACAAACACAGAAGATCAAACTACTCACAGTGTGGAGAACCATGTCTTTTATAAGTGTGATGTGCCTAAAACCATCATCAACTAAAAACCCTGGTACTTACCTATCTAAGACACCACATACAAGTTTAAAACATCTTGTTACATATGTTAATTCTACATCCTTATTTTAAAATCGGTTCACTGTTTTACGTCATCATTTGGCATGGTGCTGTTGTAGCCTTTCAAAATAATTATTAAATAAGGAAAAGGAGTAAATACAGAATTAATTAACTGTTTTTAAACTAGGTGTTTGTGTGTGGAAATGACAGCAAAGCCAAGCAAAGAGTGATGGATATTGTTCGTAATCTTGGACTTACTCCAATGGATCAAGGATCACTCATGGCAGCCAAAGAAATTGAAAAGTACCCCCTGCAGCTATTTCCAATGTGGAGGTTCCCCTTCTATTTGTCTGCTGTGCTGTGTGTCTTCTTGTTTTTCTATTGTGTTATAAGAGACGTAATCTACCCTTATGTTTATGAAAAGAAAGATAATACATTTCGTATGGCTATTTCCATTCCAAATCGTATCTTTCCAATAACAGCACTTACACTGCTTGCTTTGGTTTACCTCCCTGGTGTTATTGCTGCCATTCTACAACTGTACCGAGGCACAAAATACCGTCGATTCCCAGACTGGCTTGACCACTGGATGCTTTGCCGAAAGCAGCTTGGCTTGGTAGCTCTGGGATTTGCCTTCCTTCATGTCCTCTACACACTTGTGATTCCTATTCGATATTATGTACGATGGAGATTGGGAAACTTAACCGTTACCCAGGTAAATCTCTTCTTATATATTTTCTTCTGCTCCTGAAATCAGAGACTATTGCTACATCATATTCCATTTCATAATTATAGAAAGTCACTCTTCTAAGCATCTTCTTTTTTAAAGTAACTAGAATTAGAAATGTCATGTCAGTTTTTTAAAATGAATCCAGTTTAGATCTCATACAACTATTAAGAATAAAAGTTTGCCGGGGGCGGTGGCTCACTCCCATAATCCCAGCACTTTGGGATTCCGAGGCAGGTGAATCATGTGGTCAAGAGATCAAGACCATCCTGGCCAACATGGTGAAACCCCATCTCTACTAAAAATACAAAAATTAGCTGGGCATGGTGGCGGGTACCTCTAATCCCAGCTACCCAGGAGGCTGAGGCAGGAGAATCGCTTGAACCCAGGAGGCAGAGGTTGCAGTGAGCCGAGATCGTGCCACTGCACTCCAGCCTGGGTGACAGAGCAAGACTCCATCTCAAAAAGAAAAAAAAAAAAAGAAAGAAAAAAAATGATACTTTCCAGGTTCGCTTGGGTCCAGATCTGTATTCCCAGGGCTCATAGAGATATTGGCAAACTGACAGATTTCATGGCTCAAGAAACCTAAAGACACCTACTTGAATTCCTTTGGTTGGCAGTCAAATGTTAACTAGTGTGTTTTCAAGCTTCTATTCTTAGGCATGTTACTTCCTTTTGGAAGTCAAAACCAACCATCTTTTAAGTAAGAGGGCTAACCAAATATGTGCCACACTAAAGCAAACAAATTCACAAAAGAGCGCTTATAATTCCCTTAATGTTTGACTTGGGGGAAGTTGACCTCAATAACTAGAAAACCAAATAATTCTGAGCAAATATCAAATATTGTCTTATGCATAATCAAAAGATTCAGTGAGAATCAGCTGAAGGAGTTTTAAGACATTCTCAGAGGAAGTGCTATAAGTCAGTTCTAGTTTAGAAATAGCTAGTTTTGATAGATCTTACTTCAGTCTCAAAAATTATTAGTTAGTCATTAATGATGCTTCTATGGGTTTCTCTACATTATTTTCCCAACAAATACATGTAAGTTTCCTGGGTAAGAGTCACACTACAAGTGTCTGATTCCTCTCAACTTGTGGTGCAAGACTGATGTATTATATTATGATGTATTTATTATCATGTATAATAAACATGAAAGAACCCACTTTGAGAGTGTGAGTAATCCACATATAAAGCAGAAAAACAGAATTCTGATGTAATTGTTTGAGAACATCAAGTTTTGCTTGGGGAACAAAATGCAGATGGTAATGAAGGTTTAAGTGAGTGTTTACTGTCTTTTAGAATTTACAGGGAAAATCGAAACTTTCTACACAACTCCTAGAATCAAGTCCAAACAGAACCAATTACTTTTTTTGCCAAAAAATATAATTTCTAAGTGTATTTTTCACTAAAGTTATTTTAAAATAATTTTTAAGAAATGCCATACAATTTGCTTTGAGCAAATAATTTGTGCCCACTGTCAAAGTGTGGGCAGTTTGTAAAATGTAGTTTGTAAAAATGTAGTTTTGTAATTGCTTATAATTTTTCTTAGGCAATACTCAAGAAGGAGAATCCATTTAGCACCTCCTCAGCCTGGCTCAGTGATTCATATGTGGCTTTGGGAATACTTGGGTTTTTTCTGTTTGTACTCTTGGGAATCACTTCTTTGCCATCTGTTAGCAATGCAGTCAACTGGAGAGAGTTCCGATTTGTCCAGGTAAGAACTTCAAGTTCATTCCTAACTTTTCATTTTGCTCCATCACTTCCCTAGCAATCATATTTAAAAATTCAAATTAGAAAATGTTGAACCCAGGTACAAAAGGCAGAATCCATAATGATTTGATTTCTTAATACTCGCCAAGATTCCTGACTGCCTCCATATCTACAGCTAAGACTATAGGGTGAAAAATACTAAGAACTATTACAATTTATGTGTGGAGATGTACTAGGTACAAGGCAAAAAGAAACCCCAAGACAAAATTTCACCATCTAAAAAATTAACCTTACAACATGGACATACAGATATGGAAAACCAGATGTTGAGATAAAGTTTAAAATCTTCACAGCAAGATTTGATAGATGTCATCACACCGGAAGACTTAATGCTCTTCTGTAAGAGGGAAAATTGTTTTCTTCCACATGTCAAGCACCAACCAACCCCTCTTTAAAGGCAGTTAGTAACTACACATTCTTGTAGACCAGTGGTCCTCAAAATATGGCACCAGGACCAGCAGCATCTGCATCACCTGGAAACTTGTTAGATACACAAAGCCCCAGGCCATGCCCAGGCCTACTGAATCAGAAACTCTGAACCTGTGGCCCAGAAATTTAATGAGCCTTCAAGATGATTCTGATGCATGCTTATTATGAGTATAATAGAAAAGAGCATTAGTCTTTAAAATTAGGTTAGAATTTTATAGAACTATTGGAATCTTAAGTCTTGCAATTTCTCCCAGGGACCAAATGCAGTCAACATGTTCTCATTAGCAGTTTTGTTCAAGGTATTAAGGCAGAAATAAACAATAAGCTTTAAAATGTAGGCTGAAACAAGATTGGCTATTGCTCTTTATTGTGATAGAAATGAGCTAGGATCTGGTTTTAGTCAGTAACATATACTAAGATGGTGCTTCTTGAGGTCATACTGTGTCATATTCATCTCTGACCTCTAGAAAAGATGATAAATAAAAGAGTTTCACCTTTGGGAACCAAGACAAGCTACATTATTTATTCTAACTTGGAAGAGTTTACTCCTGGGAAACTTTTCCATCCAGCTAGGTTAAGGTGAAGCTACTATGTCATTTGTAAGAAATAATCTTGTTTTAAATGAAGTATTTACCATCCTGAAGAAGGGTTAGTGCTTTTTTTCAGTACTTGGCAAAGTGTCCTAAACATTATAGGTCTCAAATGTTTGTGGTTGTTGACAAATATCTGTCACTGGCTTAGAGTGTTTCACTTTAAGATGTAAATAATGTTAACTTACATATTTTTGTTTCTTGTTTATAGTCCAAACTGGGTTATTTGACCCTGATCTTGTGTACAGCCCACACCCTGGTGTACGGTGGGAAGAGATTCCTCAGCCCTTCAAATCTCAGATGGTATCTTCCTGCAGCCTACGTGTTAGGGCTTATCATTCCTTGCACTGTGCTGGTGATCAAGTTTGTCCTAATCATGCCATGTGTAGACAACACCCTTACAAGGATCCGCCAGGGCTGGGAAAGGAACTCAAAACACTAGAAAAAGCATTGAATGGAAAATCAATATTTAAAACAAAGTTCAATTTAGCTGGATTTCTGAACTATGGTTTTGAATGTTTAAAGAAGAATGATGGGTACAGTTAGGAAAGTTTTTTTCTTACACCGTGACTGAGGGAAACATTGCTTGTCTTTGAGAAATTGACTGACATACTGGAAGAGAACACCATTTTATCTCAGGTTAGTGAAGAATCAGTGCAGGTCCCTGACTCTTATTTTCCCAGAGGCCATGGAGCTGAGATTGAGACTAGCCTTGTGGTTTCACACTAAAGAGTTTCCTTGTTATGGGCAACATGCATGACCTAATGTCTTGCAAAATCCAATAGAAGTATTGCAGCTTCCTTCTCTGGCTCAAGGGCTGAGTTAAGTGAAAGGAAAAACAGCACAATGGTGACCACTGATAAAGGCTTTATTAGGTATATCTGAGGAAGTGGGTCACATGAAATGTAAAAAGGGAATGAGGTTTTTGTTGTTTTTTGGAAGTAAAGGCAAACATAAATATTACCATGATGAATTCTAGTGAAATGACCCCTTGACTTTGCTTTTCTTAATACAGATATTTACTGAGAGGAACTATTTTTATAACACAAGAAAAATTTACAATTGATTAAAAGTATCCATGTCTTGGATACATACGTATCTATAGAGCTGGCATGTAATTCTTCCTCTATAAAGAATAGGTATAGGAAAGACTGAATAAAAATGGAGGGATATCCCCTTGGATTTCACTTGCATTGTGCAATAAGCAAAGAAGGGTTGATAAAAGTTCTTGATCAAAAAGTTCAAAGAAACCAGAATTTTAGACAGCAAGCTAAATAAATATTGTAAAATTGCACTATATTAGGTTAAGTATTATTTAGGTATTATAATATGCTTTGTAAATTTTATATTCCAAATATTGCTCAATATTTTTCATCTATTAAATTAATTTCTAGTGTAAATAAGTAGCTTCTATATCTGTCTTAGTCTATTATAATTGTAAGGAGTAAAATTAAATGAATAGTCTGCAGGTATAAATTTGAACAATGCATAGATGATCGAAAATTACGGAAAATCATAGGGCAGAGAGGTGTGAAGATTCATCATTATGTGAAATTTGGATCTTTCTCAAATCCTTGCTGAAATTTAGGATGGTTCTCACTGTTTTTCTGTGCTGATAGTACCCTTTCCAAGGTGACCTTCAGGGGGATTAACCTTCCTAGCTCAAGCAATGAGCTAAAAGGAGCCTTATGCATGATCTTCCCACATATCAAAATAACTAAAAGGCACTGAGTTTGGCATTTTTCTGCCTGCTCTGCTAAGACCTTTTTTTTTTTTTACTTTCATTATAACATATTATACATGACATTATACAAAAATGATTAAAATATATTAAAACAACATCAACAATCCAGGATATTTTTCTATAAAACTTTTTAAAAATAATTGTATCTATATATTCAATTTTACATCCTTTTTCAAAGGCTTTGTTTTTCTAAAGGCTTTGTTTTCCTTTTTATTATTTTTTTCTTTTTTATTTTTTTGAGACAGTCTTGCTCTGTCGCTCAGGCTGGAGTGCAGTGGCACGATCTCAGCTCACTGCAACCTCCTCCTCCCAGGTTCAAGTGATTCTTGTTCATCAGCCTCCCGAGTAGCTGGGACTACAGGCATGTGCCACTATGCCCAGCTAATTTTTGTACTTTTAGTAGAGACAGGGTTTCACCACATTGGTCAGGCTGGTCTTGAAATGCTGGCGTCAAGTGATCTGCCTGCCTCCGCCTCACAAAGCACTGGGATTACAGGCATGAATCTGGCCTTACGTAATATATTTTCTTAATGGCTGCATAATATCACATCAAATAGGCATTTTTCAAACCTCTTTCCTTATTAAACATGTAGACTATATCCATTTTTTACTAAAATAAATAACATTTCAGATAATATCTTTGCACTGATAATGTTGCCAAGCCATTTCTAAAGTGACCTTATCAATTTAATTACCATTGGATGAGGGTGTTGCTTTCATCGCACCATTGTAGATTGTCTTTTTTATTTCAATTTGCGTTTATTTATAACTGGTTGCAAAGGTACACAGAACACACGCTCCTTCAACTTATCTTTGATAAACCCAAGCAAGGATACAAAAAGTTGGACGACATTGAGTAGAGTCATGGTATACGGTGCTGACCCTACAGTATCAGTGGAAAAGATAAGGAAAATGTCACTACTCACCTATGTTATGCAAAACAGTTAGGTGTGCTGGGGCTGGATACTGCTCTTTTACTTGAGCATTGGTTGATTAAAGTTTAGGTACCATCCAGGCTGGTCTAGAGAAGTCTTTGGAGTTAACCATGCTCTTTTTGTTAAAGAAGAGAGTAATGTGTTTATCCTGGCTCATAGTCCGTCACCGAAAATAGAAAATGCCATCCATAGGTAAAATGCTGACCTATAGAAAAAAATGAACTCTACTTTTATAGCCTAGTAAAAATGCTCTACCTGAGTAGTTAAAAGCAATTCATGAAGCCTGAAGCTAAAGAGCACTCTGATGGTTTTGGCATAATAGCTGCATTTCCAGACCTGACCTTTGGCCCCAACCACAAGTGCTCCAAGCCCCACCAGCTGACCAAAGAAAGCCCAAGTTCTCCTTCTGTCCTTCCCACAACCTCCCTGCTCCCAAAACTATGAAATTAATTTGACCATATTAACACAGCTGACTCCTCCAGTTTACTTAAGGTAGAAAGAATGAGTTTACAACAGATGAAAATAAGTGCTTTGGGCGAACTGTATTCCTTTTAACAGATCCAAACTATTTTACATTTAAAAAAAAAGTTAAACTAAACTTCTTTACTGCTGATATGTTTCCTGTATTCTAGAAAAATTTTTACACTTTCACATTATTTTTGTACACTTTCCCCATGTTAAGGGATGATGGCTTTTATAAATGTGTATTCATTAAATGTTACTTTAAAAATATTTCCTAGTTTTGTTTAATTCTGGTTTTAACTCATCAGCATTCCAAATAAAGTTACTAAAAGGTTTTGAATCACAGTAGTTCCAGCATCTGGGACTAAAAATACTTCCCTTCAGGGATAAGCAAAAGAGAAGGCAGTGCATGGGTTTGAAAGTGCATTAACAGATCTGCAGCTTCTTGCAATGTAAGCTTGAGCTCAGCGGGGTGGCACAGTCCAGTATGCTGTGTGTGCTTCAGTATTACCCTCAGAGAGGGGAGAGCATCAGATGGCTAAATGGGGAGGACTGCACTATCCCACGCTGGATTTTTGTGAGAATTTGGAGGTAAAAAAGGCTTTCCTTCTCCATGCAGACGCCACAGGGATAAGGCTAATGGCTTGACAAGCAGACTTCAGGTTGGATTCAGACTGCGTGACTGGGCATTAAATGCCTTGCACAACTGGACTGCTGCAGCTCTGATGGGTGTTATCCTGCTTTCAAAAATAGTATTAAAACTTACAAATAAAGAGAGGACTGACAACCTGGAGGAAGCTGGAAGCAAATGGAAAGCCCCTACTGAAAAAGCCATTTCAATTAGAAATTCATTCAGGAGCTCTTCATTCATCTATTGTTCAGGGATCACAAAAGAGCCATGATAATGATAAATGCATATTATGCATTTCACCTCTGAGAGCATAAAAGCTTCTGGAACTCTGTTCCAAAATTAAGGTGTAATGGCAGTCATGGTACTGCACACAGTAGTTGCAATTTTCATTCTCCATCATCACAACCATCATCTTCACTACCACTTCTCCAACACACACACACACACACACACACACACACACACACCCCATGAGAGCCCACAGATAGCCTTACAGGGTCCTACTTCAATTTTCTATAATGAATTAGGTTTACATTCTAGAAAAATCCTTCACTCTTCTAAAGGTTTGTTCAGTAGAATTTGGGAAAAGAGTATAAGTTACTCTTCAATGTATCAGAAGCATTTGGACCAGGTGACTCCATCTTCAATAGAGGCTGAGTAAAATAAGCCTGAGACTGGCCGGGCGCAGTGACTCACACCTGTAATCCCAGCACTTTGGGAGGCCAAGTCAGGTGGATCACCTGAGGTCAGGAGTTTGAGACCAGCCTGGCCAACATGGTGAAACCCCATCTCTACTAAAAATATAAAAAATTAGCCAGCATGGTGGCGCATGCCTGTAATCCCAGCTACTCTGGAGGCTGAGGCAGGAGAAGTGCTTGGACCCAGGAAGCAGAGGTTACAATGAGCCAAGATCGCGCCATTGCACTCCAGCCTGGGTGACAAGAGTGAAACTCCGTCTCAAAATAAATAAATAAATAAATAAGACTGAGACCTACTGGGCTGCATTCCCAGGACAGCAGGTGTTCTTAGTCACAGGATGAGATAGGAGTAAGCACAAGGTACAGGTCACAAAGACCTTGCTGATAAAACAGGATGCAATAAAGAAGCCGTCCAAAACCTACCAAAACCAAGATGGCAATGAAAGTGATCTTTGGCTGTCTCAGCTGTTCATTATATGCTAATTATAATATATTAGCAGCCTAAAATACACTCCCACTAGCACCATGACAGTTTACAAATTCCATGGCCACATCCAGAAGTTACCCTATATGTTCTAAAAGCAGGAGGAGCCCTCAGTTCTGGGAATCATCTGCCCCTTTCCTGAACATCTCATGAATAATCCATCCCTTGTTTAGCATATAATCAAGAAATAACTATAACTATACTCAGCCAGGCAGCCCATGCCACTGCTCTGCCTATGAAATAGCCCTTTTATTCCTTTACAGTCTTAATAAACTTGCTTTCATTTTATGGATTCACCTCAAATTCTTTCTTGTGCAAGATCCAAGAACTCTCTCTTGGGGTCTGTATTGGACCCCCTTTCTGGTAACATATGCATTACCTCTCCTCAAGCTCGAGGCAAAGTCCTAAAGTTTCGGATAAGACCCATATGAGGGAGGTGAAGGATGAAGGGATTGAGGGCAAAGGGACTGAGAAAAGGGGAGTGTGGAAGAGCAAGACAGTGCTCTTGCCATTACCCAGCAAAAGCCAAAA
This sequence comes from Homo sapiens, assembly GCF_000001405.40. NCBI lineage: Eukaryota > Metazoa > Chordata > Mammalia > Primates > Hominidae > Homo > Homo sapiens. The sequence continues at coordinate 88,274,354 of NC_000007.14, read as the reverse complement.
GGATCCAGTACTACTTGCTTTCTGCTGTAAGGGAATTTTGGAAGGCTTTTAATGATACTTACAGCAGAGTGCCATGCGTAAAGCCTATGCTAACAATTTCACATGCATTATCTTATTTAATCCTCATAACAGTTCTCTAAGGTTCTCTTCTTATCCTTATTTATCAGAAGAGGAAACTGAGCTTTGAAATCTCAGTACTTTGACTAAGTTCACACAACTAATGAGAGGCAGAGCTGGGATCTAGGCAGTCTGACTCCAGGCCCATCTCCTTTTAACACAACGATATAATAGGGGACACCCATGCTGTCCTCTTAAATGTCCCTTTGAATCCACAAAATAGACTAAGTGAACGAAACCACTGCAACTCTTCTTAAAAACATTTTTAAAGACAAGAAGCTTATTCGCATTTTAAATATTCCTGATTGCCCAGTCCTCAATACTCCAGGTTTATCTATGCTGATTTCAATTCGTCCTCTAAGGTTGTAGAAACACAGGATCTGTGGTTCCCGCATTAAGTTCAATTCCATTGCAATTGCCATTTTAATCTTCCCACTCTAGTCTGGCCACAAGGTTTCCTAAACTCTAAAGGGAGCTTTGTTCTGGTGGAGGGAGGTAAAATCCCCAGACCTGAGGACTCGAAGGGGCAGTCAAGGAGAGGATAGCTCTTCTCCAGAGCTTAAAGGCAAATATTTTCTTTTTCCCTGGTTTCTCACCTTATTGCTTTGTGTACTGAGTGAACTTATTTGTTTTTGAGATCCAGTAACCCATGCAAGAAATTTCATAACACTTCTCATTTAGTACTTTAATACTAGTTGAAGAATCTAGGGTTACACACACACACACACACACACACCAGGCTTAGTTCCATTACCTATAGCTGTAAAAATGAGATTTTTTTCTCAGTTTTGTGAAAATGAAAGGCTGCTGGACTGGAACTCACAGTATTGTATATCAAAAAGTATCAGATTGTGATAAAATAGAAACCCAGAATTAAACTTGGCCTTATGATTTTTAGAAAGTCAACAGATTTTGAAGGAGCCCACCCAGTGTATTCATTTCATTTTTACTAATCCTTTCTTTCATGCTAAGATAGAGATGAAAAAGAATGACAGACTTCCTGTTCTCATTTCATTACAGCAAAATAAATAAGTTTTAGTGTTCCATAGCTCTGTAGGATGACTATAGTTAAAAATAACATATAATTTCAAATAGCCAGGAGGACATTGACTGTTCCCAACACAAAGAAATGATAAATGTTTGCAATGATGGATATGCTAATTACACTGATCTGATCACTATACATTGTACATACATAAACATGACTATGTACCTCATGGATATGTACAACTGTTATTTGTCAGTTTTAGAAAATAAAAAAGCAGAAGAGATCTGCTACCAAATGCAGGAATTTTCTATAGAGTCTGTTATAGCTAGCCTTCTACAGGCTTAACTCTTCTCATGATGGAGTATTGACCATCACCAACAGGAAATCTTTTGTTTTAGGCACTCCAGGAAATTATCAGGGAGTTCTCTCTGTAGATAACCAAAGTTTCCCTAGTTGTACTTCTACCCATTTTTCTTAGTGTGATCATTTAAAGCAGTGCCTCACCAACTATCAGAGATGGGGGCCAGTAATTTTTGTTTCATTTTTTTCCAGTTCATTACAAATCAATGCATATGTCTGTAAAACACAAAATCACACCCTTAAATGTGATGGCAACATCAAATTGCCATAAAAGTTTCTAAACTTTTCACCCCAATTTCTGAATTTATCACAGACTGGTAAAAAACAGCTCACAAGCCAGCACCACGGGCAGACCACACTTTGCACAGTGCTCAAACGTAGGCCTAACAACCTGGCTTGGCTTGGCACTTCTAAAAACCGATCCTGAGGCAAGGCTTCTTGTAAAAGAGTTTATACTGGAAGTTAAAAATCATCAAATTATTAGATACTGGGAATGGAGTAGTAAAGTAGACAGAGCAGGGAAGGAATAAAGTATGAATTTTCAAGCTGGTTACCCATCTGGGCAACTGGAGCTCAGTTTTGCTGGGAAAGTCTGGAAGACAGTGTCAGATATAACTAAGAGTTATTCCCATCAAGGGGAAAGGAAACTGTGCTTTTCATCCACCAAATCCTTGCTTAACATTGGAATACAGATGCTTCCAAGACATTAACTTTGTGGCACTTCTGGCTTTTCCTACACACTTATTGTGTATGCCACCATGTCTAGGGGGAAAAAGGCCCACAGGCAAAGAGGTACCAGCATTCATACCACCAGCTTTCAGCTTGTAGAGGTGGCCGCCAAGAGGAACTCGTAGTTGGCAGTGCCAACTACAACTACTACACCAACCAGCTGGAAACTATACAAAGAGTATGAACAAAGTTCACAGGAGAAACAAGGCTCTGCAACATATGAAAATATATTCTACTTCATTCATAATGAGACGCATGAAAATTGTAACTGTATCAATACCATTTCTCACCTAGTAGATGGGCAAAAATCCAAATGTTTGAGCACACATTCTGTGGGTGAGGCTGTGGAAACGTAGGTTCACATACATTGCTCTTGGATATGCAGATTAGGACCGCTCCTGTGGAGAGCAGTTAGGGAATATCTTTCAAAATTAAAAAATGCAGAGTTAAGTTTTGATCCAGGAGTCTCACTCCTGAGAATTTATGCTATAGATATGCCTACAAGCATTTGAGATGAAAAAGAAGCATTGCTATTTGTTTTTCTTGTTTTTCATGAATAACATTGTAAAAGTAGAATATGGGCAGTGATTCAAGCATTCATCTTTGGGACTGGTTAAGGAAACTATGATGCTTTCACAGAATGAAATTCTATGCAGCTGTTTAAAACAAACCAAGACACCTTCTTTCACATATATGGAAAGATGTCCAAAATATACTGTTCAGTTTTTAAAAAGGTACAAAATAACATATATAGTATGATTCCTTTTGCATATGTGTATTTGCTTTTAATTGCCTAAAGAAACTCTCAGAAGGATTCAAAAGATCCATACCAAACAAGATGGGAGAACAGAGGAGTAGTGACAGGAGTAGAAGCACTGTAGACCTTTTCATATCATTTTGGTTTTTAAATTACATGAGTAGGTTACCTAATTATTAAAATAAATTTAATTTAAAAGGTAATGGGGGATAGGAAGAAATTTGTTAAAAGATACAAAATTACAGCTAGATAGGAAGATTAAGTTGTAGTGTTCTATAGCTCTGTAGGATGACTACAGTTAACAATAATATATATTCTAAATAGCTAGAAGGAGGATATTGAATGTTCTCAACAGAAAGAAATGATAAATGCTTAAGATGATGGATATACTAATTACCCTAATCTGATCACTGTATATTTTGTGTATTGCAATGTCACTATGTACCCCATAAATATGTATAATTATCGTGTGTCAATTAAAAATTTTTAATTAAAAAATTATAAACAAAAAATTTTTTAAAGTAATTGATTGCATATCCCTGCTAAATCTTATCTTACGCTAAACACCAGCACATTCACTGTTTTCTCTTGTATAAAAATTTCTAAATCTTTCATCTTTCTGGTGCCTCTTGTTCAGATCTACAAACATTTCAATGTTCCTTTTAAAACACAGTTCCCTAAACCAAAAACATGATATTTTTCCCTTCTTTCACATTCTGTAATTAAAATAGTATTTAAATTCCTAGTAGACATTTTAGGAATATTCAACAACAAAAAGTTGTCCATTATTTCATCTGTATTGGCATTTTTCCCCATATGAAAAAGACTTAAAATACTTTAATATAAAATAAATTTTCAATAAAAATAGTTTTTATAAAACTGGCTAAAAATAGCAAGTAGGCATCAAAAATATAACTCCAGTTGAGGTGCAGGTTTAGAGTATAACGTGATTGTTGCTTCTGTTATTCTAACTTGTGAGTCTCTATTAATTTAGTGTACATGTTCACTGTAAATTTTTATAGTCGCAAAATTTCAGGATCACATCAAATAATATGCCTAATTTCTTTTCACATAAAGCATTAATTCCAGTCTCTCCATAGTCTGCCCCTCTAGCCCCATCTCTGCCCCCTTCCACCACCAAACCATCCACCCTACACTGATTACCATTAATATTTTTAAACCTAAGTACAAAGCAAAAATATCTTGCACTATCTGCACTGTCTTTGCAATAATGCTATAAATCTAAAATTATTTTAAAATACTATGACCCTAACATTGTTCTAAAATAAAAGGTTTACTTAAAAAAAAGCACTCACCATATTCTTATTAAAGTTTATCTCATATAAATTAACCTATCCTTCAGCATAGAAAATTGTTTTAAATATTAATTCCCTTTTCCAAAAGATATGCTCTACACATATTTCCTAAACATGGCCTCCATGTCTTTATTTTAGTTTTTGATAGGAAATACAGAAACGTTATCCATAACCTCCAACTCCAACTATAGTGTTTTTTAGACTACATGAAGCCTAGAGATTATCTAATAGTATACATTCATTTCACAGATGTGGAAACTGAACCCAAGAGGGTGAAGTAATTTCTGCAAGGTCACATAGCTACATTGCAACAAAGCAGAATTGGACCACAGATGACTGATTTTCAGGCTAGGGTTTTTTCCGATCCTTTTGAAATCAGGTGATTAAGTTGAAAACAAGCTGGTTGTAGATCCAAAAAAAAATGGGGGTCAAAAGGGCTGATCCGAAACAGGTATATCCAGTGACAATTTTGGACTTTTCAGTCTGTGATGAGTACTTTGCCTTTAAAAAACATGACAGAGACTAAAGAAACAGAATTATCTAGTGGTATATTTAGGCTGACTGTGATTATTGGAATTCTAAAGAATGATACACAACATTTTCCCCTTCTTTAACGTTCTCTCATTAAAATAATATTTAAAGTCTTAGTAAACATTTTAGGAATATTCAACAACAAAAAGTTGTCCATTATTTCATCTCTGTTGGAATTCTTCCCCATATGAAGAAGACTGTTAAAACTGCTTTAATATAAAATAATTTTACAATAAAAATAGTTTTTATAAAACTGGCTAAAAATACCAAGTAGACATCAGTGGCAGTCATGGAAGATGACCTACTCAGATGTTCCTTCAAGAGAACCTGCTGCAAGGAAACATAACAAATAAACAACTTTCAACTGGCCCACATTATTGATAAGCACCACGTTATTCACATGATCCACATTGCCCTTGGGCTGCTCCCAGGCAATGACCATGCATAACAGAGATACTAGAACAAAGCCATCATTGCCTCAAAAGAGCTTCCTCTAATGGATCATTGCCTCATATGAGCTTCCTCTAATGGATCATTGCCTCATATGAGCTTCCTCTAATGGGCAGCATTTGCTTGGATGTTCCCACTGGGCCAGCCAAGACCTTTTCACATCTGCACTATGATCTGGATCTCCTCCTATCCAATGTTTCCCTTGCCTTCATCTTTTGCACGTGTAAGACCAGCATTGCAATATGAAGGCTCCCTCCTCCTTTATCCTTTAAGTCATTTCTTCCAATAAATCTCCCATCCTATCTTGGTACCTGCTTCTTGGAGAACCTAACTGACAAAGCATCACAGGCAGAAAAGCAGCAAAATAAATAACTTTTGTTAATAACATTAGATAATAATTATGACATTTATTAACCCTTTCACTCAAATATAATCCTCAACAGATAGTTTCGCCAATTGTTATGTCCTAAGATGTTAAGCATAAATAAGTGACAAATGTACATCACAGAGTGTGTTAGGGAAGCATATCTCTTTTTCCAAGTTCCAATCCCCTACCTATGAAAGAGAAGAAAATATGTGATTCTTAAGGTCTAAAAATACATACGAAAGAAAAAAATGCATTTCTGTTTCACTGAACATTATGAAGCTGCTAGTCTCAGAGAAGGGCTAAACATGGTAAAGAGATAGTGAAGAAAAGATGCTTGGGGAGCAAAAGTTGAAAATGGCTGAATCTGAGAAAAAGGTATGGATTTAATCCCTCCACCACCCTGAATCTGAGGCAGAGGAACGAGGATTGCAGAATGAAGTATCCCAAATGCTGAGAGATGACTCATTACTTTAGTAAGACACAAAGCTTTTAGTAAGAATCTTCAGTCAATACAGTAAAGTTCTCTGAGAAACACTTCAAAGGCCATGCAAAGCAAAGTGACTACATCGACCCAACTCTTAACAGCAGTATCATGTGGCCAGAAGAGCCAGAATAAAGATGTCAACCACCACAGGCACAGACCAGAACCCTCCCCCACCTTCTAGCCCTAATCAATTTCTGCACCCTGATTTGAGAGAAGGATGAGAGAAAAAAAGACACAAAAATTAACTTAAATTGAATGTGATATTGGCTAGGTGCACAGTAGCTCCACAAAAAGTTATTCTGACTTACAAAATTAAAAAATTGTAGCATTCCTTATACCTAGGAGTTGTGCCACAAGTTTATAGAAGAAAAGAAAATAAGAATTAACAAATGCCAAGAAAGAATTAGGAGGGTCAAAGAGCAAACAATAAGAAATAAGAACTATACTTAAGGAAACACACAAATAGATGCCACAAGTGCAGAGTAAGGAAAATGGAGAATGGAAGATGGAGAGTAGTAAGTAACGAAGAATGGAAGATGGAGAATAGTAAGTAATGGAAAATGGAGAATAGTAAGGAAAACGGAGAATGGAAGATGGAGAATAGTAAGTAATGGAAAATGGAGAATGGTAAGGAAACTGGAGAACGGAAGATGGAGAATAGTAAGTAATGGAAAATGGAGAGTAGTAAGGAAAATGGAGAATAGTAAGTAATGGAAAACGGAGAATAGTAAGGAAAATGGAGAAGGGAAGAAAAAGGGTACAGGAAAAGTAGAATAGATATCAGATATTAGCTTCCCACCTATATCTTTTAAGATACTTGATGAAGTCCCCTCTCCCCTCTCCCCTCTCCCCTCTCCCCTCTCCCCTCTTTCCACGGTCTCCCTCTGATGCCGAGCCGAAGCTGGACTGTACTGCTGCCATCTCGGCTCACTGCAACCTCCCTGCCTGATTCTCCTGCCTCAACCTGCCGAGTGCCTGCGATTGCAGGCGCGCGCCGCCACGCCTGACTGGTTTTCGTATTTTTTGGGTGGAGACGGGGTTTCGGTGTGTTGGCCGGGCTGGTCTCCAGCTCCTAACAGCGAGTGATCCGCCAGCCTCGGCCTCCCGAGGTGCCGGGATTGCAGACGGAGTCTCCTTCACTCAGTGCTCAATGGTGCCCAGGCTGGAGTGCAGTGGCGTGATCTCGGCTCGCTACAACATCCACCTCCCAGCAGCCTGCCTTGGCCTCCCAAAGTGCCGAGATTGCAGCCTCTGCCCGGCCGCCACCCCGTCTGGGAAGTGAGGAGCGTCTCTGCCTGGCCGCCCATCGTCTGGGATGTGAGGAGCCCCTCTGCCTGGCTGCCCAGTTTGGAAAGTGAGGAGCGTCTCTGCCCAGCCGCCATCCCATCTAGAAAGTGAGGAGCGCCTCTTCCCGGCCGCCATCCCATCTAGGAAGTGAGGAGCGCCTCTTCCCGGCCGCCATCCCATCTAGGAAGTGAGGAGCGTCTCTGCCCGGCCGCCCATCGTCTGACATGTGGGGAGCGCCTCTGCCCTGTCGCCCCGTCTGGGATGTGAGGAGCGTCTCTGCCCGGCAGCCACCCCGTCTGGGAAGTGAGGAGCGTCTCCGCCCGGCAGCCACCCCGTCCGGGAGGGAGATGGGGGGGTCAGCCCCCCGCCCGGCCAGCCGCCCCATCCGGGAGGGAGGTGGGGGGATCAGCCCCCCGCCCGGCCAGCCGCCCCCTCCGGGAGGTGAGGGGTGCCTCTGCCCGGCCGCCCCTACTGGGAAGTGAGGAGCCCCTCTGCCTGGCCAGCCGCCCCGTCCTGGAGGGAGGTGGGGGTGGTCAGCCCCCCGCCCGGCCAGCCGCCCCATCCGGGAGGTGAGGGGCGCCTCTGCCCGGCCGCCCCTACTGGGAAGTGAGGAGCCCCTCTGCCTGGCCAGCCGCCCCGTCCGGGAGGGAGGTGGGGGGTCAGCCCCCCGCCCGGCCAGCCGCCCCGCCCGGGAGGGAGGTGGGGGAGTCAGCCCCCCGCCCGGCCAGCCGCCCCATCTGGGAGGGAGGTGGGGGGGTCAGCCCCCTGCCCGGCCAGCCGCCCCGTCCGGGAGGGAAGTGGGGGGGTCAGCCCCCCGCCCGGCCAGCCGCCCCGTCCGGGAGGGAGGTGGGGGGGTCAGCCCCCCGCCCGGCCAGCCACCCCGTCCGGGAGGTGAGGGGCGCCTCTGCCCGGCTGCCCCTACTGGGAAGTGAGGAGACCCTCTGCCCGGCCACCACCCCGTCTGGGAGGTGTACCCAACAGCTCATTGAGAACGGGCCATGATGACAATGGCGGTTTTGTGGAATAGAAATGGGGGAAAGGTGGGGAAAAGATTGAGAAATCGGATGGTTGCCGTGTCTGTGTAGAAAGAGGTAGACATGGGAGACTTTTCAATTTGTTCTGTACTAAGAAAAATTCTTCTGCCTTGGGATCCTGTTGATCTGTGACCTTACCCCCAACCCTGTGCTCTCTGAAACATGTGCTGTGTCCACTCAGGGTTAAATGGATTAAGGGGGGTGCAAGATGTGCTTTGTTAAACAGACGCTTGAAGGCAGCATGCTCATTAAGAGTCATCACCACTCCCTAATCTCAAGTACCCAGGGACACAAACACTGCGGAAGGCCGCAGGGTCCTCTGCCTAGGAAAACCAGAGACCTTTGTTCACTTGTTTATCTGCTGACCTTCCCTCCACTATTGTCCTGTGACCCTGCCAAATCCCCCTCTGCGAGAAACACCCAAAAATGATCAATAAAAAAATAAATAAATAAATAAATGAAAAAAAAAAAGATACTTGATGAAAAAAAATGTAAGCTAAGGATATCATTTGAAGCTGATAAACCAAATAGCATTTTGAGTATACTTAAGAGTATAAAGATTAAAATGAAGGCAAAACTGTCAGATTGTTTGAACCAGAGCAACTTCATCTTGATTAGGGGCTGGATAAAATAAGGCTAAGACATGTGGGCTGCATTCCCAGACGGTTAAGGCATTCTAAGTCACAGGATGAGATAGGAGGTTGGCACAAGATACAGGTCATGAAGACCTTGCTGATAAACAGGCAGTAAAGAAGCCAGCTAAAACCCACCAAAACCAAGATGGCCACAAGAGTGACTTCTGGTTGTCCTCACTGCTGCACTCCCACCAGCTCCATGACAGTTTACTAATCCCGTGGCAACATCAGGAAGTTACCCTATACGGTCTAAAAAGGGGAAGCATGAATAACCCACCCCTTGTTTAGCATATCATCAAGAAATAACCACTAAAAAGGGCAACCAGCAACCCTCCAGGGCTACTCTGACTGTGGAGTAGCCATTCTTTTATTCCTTTACTTTCCTAATAAACTTGCCCTGAATTCTTTCTTGCGTGAGATCCAAGAACTCTCTCTTGGGGTCTGAATAGGGACCCCTTTCCTGTAACGAAACTACTTAATAAAATTGAATGGTAGGGGAAAAAGAGAAAGCAGTAGGTAGCTATTTTAAGCGTTGATTCTCATAGGAAATCAACAGACAATAAAAAACGAGAAGATTAAGAGTATTATTACAATTTTTTTTTTTTTTTTTTTTGAGACAGGGTCTCTCCCTGTTGCCCAGGCTGGAGTGCAGTGGCACAATCTTGGCTCACTGCAACCTCCACCTCCCGGGCTCAAGCGATTCTCCTGCCTCAGCCTCCTGAGTAGCTGGGATTACAGGTGTGCACCACCATGCCCAGCTAATTTTTGTGTATTTTGTAGAGATGGGGTTTAGCCATGCTGGCCAGGCTGGTCTCAAACTCCTGAGCTCAACTGATCCACCTACCTCGGCCTCCCAAAGTGCTTGGATTACAGGCATGAGCCACAGCACCAGACCAGGAGTAACAGTTAGAATAAAAATGGGCTGGATGTGAAGGCTTAGTCTTT